>NC_000002.12:57766109-58069140 GCF_000001405.40 Homo sapiens | reverse complement strand
AAATAAGAGACCCAAATTCTTACAACATAATATTCAACATATCCATGAAATAATTCAGAGTTACTAGGCATACAAAGAAGCAGAAAAAAACTCATATATGAAAAGACAATGAATAGATAATAATGACAAAATGACAGGGATGTTGAAATTATCTGACAGACTTTAAAGCAACCATTATAAAAATGTTTCAATAAATAAAGACAAACACTTTTGAAACAAAGGGAAAAACAGAAAAATGCAACAAAGACAGAAAATACAAAAAAGAATCAAATGATGTTTTTGAAACTAAAAGATACATAACCGAGTTTTTGTTTTTTTTTTTTTTTTTTCCTGAGGGGGTGCAATACAATTAGGGAGATGACATAAGAAAAAGTCACTGAACTTGATGATAGATCAAAGGAAAATGATCCAACCTAAACAACAGAGAGATAAACTATGAAAAAATTGAACACCACCTTAGAAACTTATAGGCAGTAACAAAACATTGAACATGTAGAATCCCAGAAGAGAAGGAAGCTTGTGATACTGAAAAAACATTTGATGAAATAAGGACTGAAATGTTCCAAGTTTTATATACACATAAGCCTACAGACTCAATAATGTCAAAGAACCCCCAATAGGATAAACCCAAAGAAATCAATGCCCAGACACATTATAGTCAAATCTGAAATCTAAAAACAAAGAAAAATCTTGAAAGCAGCCAGAGTGAACAATGCATTATGTATAGGGGAACAATGGCTCAAATGACTGCAAATTTATCATCAGAAATGATGAAGATGGGAAAAAAATTATCAATCCAACATCCAGCAAAAATACCTTTTGGAAAAGAAACTAAATGAAGACATTCTCAGGTGAAGAAAACTAAAGAGAATTAATGGTCAGCAGACTTGCTGTGTTAAGAATTTCTAAAGAAAGATATTGAAGTACAAAAGCCTGTAATCCCAGCACTTTGGGAGGCCAAGGTGGACAGATCACTTGAGGTTAGGAGTTTGAGACCAGCCTGGGCAACATGGTGAAACCTCATCTCTACTAAAAATAGAAAAATTAGCTGGGCGTCGTAGCATACACCTGTAGTGCCAGCTACTTGAGAGGCTGAGGCAGGGGAATTGCTTGAACCCAGGAGGTGCAGGCTGCAGTGAGCCAAGATTGTGCCACTGCACTCCAGGCTGGGTGACAAAGCGATACTCTGTTTCAAAAAAAAACAAAACAAAAACAAAAAAGAAAGAAAAGAAAAGAAAAGAAAAGAAAAAAAGATATTGAGGAAAAAGAAAAGTTACACAAGGAAATTTGGAATATTAGGAATAAAGGAAGAGAAAACATGATCAATAACTGGGAAAATGTAATAGATTGTGTGTCTCTTCTTCAGTTCTTCAAAATATATTTAACAGACGGAGCAAAACATGTAACATGAACTGAAGGGATTTTCAATGAATGGAGATATAATACACAAGACAACCACAATATTTAAAAATCTGTGAGATATAGCCTAAGCAGGACTTAATGGAAAAAAATTATAAAGAAAATAACCAGAAGTCAATGAAATGGAATAGAGTAAATGAAACCAAGAGCTATTTCTCTGAAATGATCAATAAAATCTATAAACTTGTATCAAGACAAAAAAGAAAACATGATTTGAAAGAGCAACATCAAAAATGAGAGACTATCACTATAAAACCTAATTACATTTAAATATAATAAATATTAACAATTCTATACCCATAAATTTGACAACTGTATTAGTCAGGGTTCTCTAGAGGGACAGAATTAATAGATGTATATAGATGTATATATGAAGGGGAGTTTATTAAGGAGTGTATTAAGGATTCACATGATCACAAGGTGAAGTCTCACAACAGGCCGTCTGCAAGCTTAGAAGCAACAAAGCCAGTCTGAGTCCCAAAACCTCAAATGCAGGGAAGCCAACAGTGCAGCCTTCAATCTGTGGCTGAAGGCCCGAGAGCCCCTGAAAAACCACTGGTGTGAGTCCAGGAGTCCAAAAGCTGAAGAACCTGCAGTCTTTATGTCAGTCAATCTTCAAGAGCAGGAAGCATCCAGCAGGAGAGAAAGATGAGGGTTGGAACACTCAGCAAGTCTGCTCTTTCCACCTTCTTCTGCATGCTTTGTTCTAGTCTCACTGGAAGCTGATTAGATGCTGCCCACTCAGGTTGAGGGTGGGTCTACCTCTCCCAATCCACTGACTCAAATGTTAATCTGCTTTGGCAACACCCTCACAGACATATCCAGGGATAATACTTCACATCCTTCAATCCAATCAAGTTGACAATATTAACCATCACAACTGATGACAAATGGAGCAATTCCTTAAAAACCATGAACTACTAAGTTACCTAAAACAAATAACCAGATTAGTCCTAAATAACCACTAAAGAAAGTGAAACCATTTTTTTTAAAAGAATGCCTTTCTGAAAAAGATATTTCTAAACCCAGTTAGCTTCACTGTATAACTATACAAAACATTTTAAAAATGAGTAACACTTAATTCTACACACTCACTTCCAGAAAACAAAAGAAAGAATACTTCAGAACTCATTTTATGAGGCCAGGATTACCCTGATACAAAATTAGACAAAGATGGTAGGGGAAATAAATAAATAAATAAAAGTATACACTAATAGTCCTCCTTAACAAAGATGGAAAGATTCTCAAAATATAAGCAAATGGAATCCAGAAATACATAAAAATAATACACCATAATCAAATTAATTTGAGGAATGCAAGAATGTTTCAATATTCAAAAATCAATGTCATCTACCATATTAATAATCTAAAGAAGAACCACCTGATCATATCAATTGAAGTAGAAAAGGCAATTGACAAAATTCAACACCCTTTTATGATCAAAACTCAGTATGCTTAACTTGATAAAGAGCAGGTATGAAAACCTACAGTTAACATCACACTGAATAGTGAGAAGCTGAATACATTCTCCCTAAAAATGAGAACAAGTCAAAAATGAGCACTCTCGCTATTTCTATTCAATAAATCACTGTAAGTCCTAGCCAGCGCAGGAAGTTAAGAATATAAATGAAAAGCACACATTTGGAAAGGAAGGTGTCCCTATCTCCAGATGATGTGATTGTGTACGTGGAAATTCCCAAAGAATCTGCCACAAAAGAAAACCCAATCCTAGAATAACTGGGTTTACCAAATTCATAGCATGTAAGGTCAACACACAACACACAACACACAACATACTACTAATATACTACTAATGTACAAATGGAAACTAAAATTTAAAAACCAAGAACATTTTCAATAGCTCCAAAAAATGTATATATCAATATATACCCAACAATACATGTATAGGACTAGTATGCTAATAACTACAAAAAGCTGATATAAGAAATCAGGGAAGACCTAAAGAAATGAGGACACATGCTGTACTTATGGTTTGGATGACTTTACATAGTAGAAATGTTAATTTTCCCCAAATTTATCAATAGATTTAGCTCAATATCAATTAAAATCCCAGCAATTTTTGTTGTCGTTGTTCTGGAAATATAAATTAATTATGTATATGGAAAAGCAAAGGAATTAAAATAGCTAAAACAATTTTGAAGAAAAAGTTGAAGGAATCACACTACCCAAATGTCCTTCAATGGTAGAATACACAAACTGTGATACATTCATACAACAGACTACTACTTGACAATAAAAAACTGCTGACACACACAACAACTTGGGTCAATCTCAAAGGCATTACACTAAGTGGAAAAAAAATCACAAATGACACATATTACATGATTCCATTTATAGTAATCCCATACATTCCCCAAAAGCCACATCTATAGTGATGCAGAATAGATCAATGGCTGCCAGAGATTAGGGGTAAAAGGAGGTTATGGTCACAAAGGGATAGTATGAGGAAGATTTTAGGGTGATGAATCTGTCCTGTATCCTAATTATGTTGGTGGGTGTGTTAAAATTCACAGAAATGTACAAAGATTTTTTTCTCTTTATTTTTATAAATAAGAAAAAAGATACAAGTACATAATCATAATACAAAATAGAATATGCTTAGTTATAAAATAGAAGCAAAAATATTGCAGAAAATAAATACACAATGTAAAACTGTGGTAGAAAATGCACAAAGAAAAGCAGTAGGCTTCAAGGGAAGGTGGACTTGAAATGAGCACAAACTGAATATGCAGAAATGAGAAAGAAGGTAAGTGATAAAGAGAAAAACAGAACAAGCAAAGTGATACTGGTATTTGTTTCCTGGATTAGATTCCAAAACTATGACATGTTAAAAATGTTTATGTTTTCTTAATCACACATATTTTTAAAATAAATTCTTGTATACTTGAAAAAAAAGTGTATTATCTGTAACACTGTTAAAAACCCTCCAAATTAAAACTTTTCCTATTACATATTTCACTTTATAACTTATTATTATAGCACAATCAGTTATCTTCAAACTCTTTTAGTAATGGAATGTTTCTTGGAATCCTGATATTTTGGAGATACTGCAGGTTCGGTTCCACAACAATGCAATAAAATGAATATTGCCATGAAGCAAGTAGTGTGAATTTTTTGGTTGCCCAGTACATATAAAAGTTATATTTACACTATACTGTAGTTTATTAAGGGTACAACAGCAGTATCTTTTAAAAAACAACGTACATGCCTTAATTTAAAAATATTTTATTGCTAAAAAAATTTTAGCAATCATCTGAACTTTTAGCAAGTTATCTTTTTGCTTGTGGAGGGTCTTGATGTGGATAGCTGCTGACTGATCAGGGTAGTGGGTGCTGAAGACTGCGGTGACTGTGGCAATTTCTAAAGATAGCAATGAAGTTTGCCACATCAATTGACTCTCGCTCTCACAAAAGATTTCTCTGTAGCCCACAATGTTGTTTGTTAGCATTTTATCTACAACAGACCTTTCAAAATTGAAGACAATCCTCTCAAACCATGCTACTGCTTTATCAGCTAAATTTATGTAATACTCTAAAACTCTGCTGTCATTTCAACAATGTTTATGGCATCTTTACCAGGATAGATTCTATCTCAGGAAACCACTCTCTTTGTTCATTCTTAAGAAGCAACTCCTCATGAATTAAATGTTATCATGAGATTGAGCAGTTCAGTCACATCTTCAGTTTTCAGCTCTAACTCCAGTTCTCTTGCAATTTCTGTCACATCTATAGTTGCTTCTTCACTGAAGGCTTGAACCCCGCAAAGTCACCCACAAGGGTTGGAAACAACTTCTTCCAAACTCTTGTTAACACTGCTATTTTTATCTCCTTCCCTGAATCATGAATGCTGTTAATGGCATCTGGATGGTGAATCATTTCCAGAAGACTTTCCATTCATTTTGCCCAGATCCATCTGAGGAATCATTATCTATGGCAGCTGAAGCCTTACGAAATGTATTTCTTAAATAGTAAGAACTTGAAAGTTAAAGTCACTCCTTTGATCCATGAGCTACAGAAGGGACACTATGTTAGCAGGCATGAAAACAACATTAATCTCCTTGTACATCTCCATCAGAGCTCTTGGGTAACTAAAGTGCATTGTCAACAAGCAGTAATGTTTTGAAAGCAATTTTTTTGTTTCTGAGAAGTAGGTTTCAACAGCAGGCTTAAAATATTCAGTAAACTCTATTATTCATGCAAATGTATGGGGTACATGAGAAAATCTGTTACATGCATACAACCATAGTGACCAAGTCAGGGTATTCAGGGTGCCCATTACCCAAGTACAATACATTTTTGTTAAGTATAGACATCCTACACTGCTATCAAACACTGAATTCATTCCTTTTAGCTCGCTGTATGTTTGTACCCTTTAACCCACTTCTTCTTCATCTACCCTCTTCTCCCAAAATAGGTGAGGGACAGTTGTTCTCACTCATATGTTAAAAAAAAAAAAAAAACAAAACTGTGACATATGCCTTAAATATACACAATTTTTAAAATAAGAAAAATAAAACTAAAAAAAAAAATCAGTAAACCATGCTGTAAAAAGATGGGCTGTCATCCAGGCTTTGTTGTTCCATTTACAGGGTACAAGCAGAATAGATAGTAAACATAATTCTTAAGGGCCTTAGGATTTTCTGAATGGTAAGCACTGGCTTCGACTTAAAGTCATCATCTGCACTAGCCCATAAGAAGAGAGGCATCCTGTCCTTAGAAGCTTTGAACCCAGGCATTGACTTCTCTCTAGCAATGAATGTCCTACACAGTATCTTCTTCCAATAGAAGGCTGTTTCATTTACACTGAAAATTTGTTATTTAGTGTAACCACCTTCATCATTGATCTCAGCTAGAACTTCTGGATAACTTGCTGCAGCTTCTACATCAGCACTTGCCACTTCACCTTCCATTTTTATGTTTTGGAGATGACTTCTTTCCTTAAAACCTCATGAACCAACCTTTGCTAGCTTCAAACGTTTCTTCTGCAGCTTCCTCACCTCTCTCAGCTTTCCCAGAATGGAAGAGAGTTAGGAGCTTGCTCTGGATTAGGCTTTGGCTTAAGGGAATGTTGTGGCTGGTTTGATCTTCTATCCAGACCACTGAAACTTTCTCCTTATCAGCAGTAAGGCTGCTTCACTTTAGCACTTTTAATTTCTTTTAAGAACTTTTCCTTTGCATTCACAATTGGGCTAACTGGTGTTTAAGAGGCCTAGCCTTTAACCTATCTGAGCTTTCGACATGCCTTCCTCACTAAGCTTAATTATTTCTAGCTTTTGATTTAAAGTGAGAGATGCATAACTCTTTCTTTCACTTGAATACTTAAAGGCCACGTTAGGGTTATTAATTGGCCTAATTTCAAAATTGCTGTATCACAGAGAATAGAGAGGTCTGAGGAAAGGGAGAATGATGGGAGCATGGCTGGTGAGTGGTGCAGTCAGGCCATGTGCTACATTTACCAATTAAATTCACCGTCTTGTATGGGTGCAGTTCATGATTCCTCAAAGCAATTATGATAGTCACAAGAAAGATCACTGATCACAGATCACCGTAACAGATATAATAACAAAAAAGTTTGAAATATTGTCAAAATGACCAAAATGTGACATAGAGACATGCATGAAGCCCACGCTGCTGGAAAAATAGCACTAATAGATTTGGTTGATGCAGGGTTGCCACAACCTTCAGTGTGTAAAAAAACACAGTATCTGCAAAGCACAATAAAGTGATGTGCAATAAGACAAGGTAAGCCTGAATATGCAACAGATAAAGCAGAAATGCTAAGGTTGAAACATGGGACAGGAGACCAGAACCCTTACCCCTTTCACCTCTACACCTGGGTTCCATACAGACCAGTGTGAAGACTTAGTGGTAACTGGTTTGTCATTTTCTGAATTTATTTATAATATCTCCAGTCATATTTACAATTTCTTATTGAAGGTCTGCTTTCTCTTCAAGGATAAAAATAAACAATAGCATTCTCATTATATTATATTCTATCATTACATTTTCACTTTGTTCTACTAACCTTTTACCCTATATACATCCTTGTTTAGCTCTCTTAATGATTTTTACTGTGGAATATAAAATAACAACAGATCCTGCTATTGCTTTACTGTTTACTTACATGTGCATGAAAAACCTTAACCTTTTAGTGTCTTTATATCTTATCATTTTAAGTATTGCTTTTTTGGCAACCGATTATGAAGTTCTGTCACTGATCTTCTTTAATTGAGGCTTACAGACTTTTTTTCCAATGTAGTTAACTGACAATTTTATTATAATACACTAATGTATATAATTGTTATTTTTCTTTGCTGTCTTTGGCCAGTTACTTACTGGTTGTGGTATATATTACATACTTATTTCATTTTACCACAAATTATATCTTCCAACCCATTTATCTATTTCTCAAACATTAACACTAATAAACTCTAACTTAGCTGTTTTTATTATTATTAACTAAATACATTTTGAGCTTCCCTAAAGGGTTGATATGTAACTTAACTGTTAACCCTATAATTCTGAACCACAGTTCATCAATTTAATTTAGAAATTTGAATTTTGTTATGAAACTCTACATTCATAACTTACAGTTCTTAAAAAAAATCCCCCAAGTTTTACTAAACTGGTTTTGCTTTATATCATCAAATCTTTTCTTAATATTTTAACTCATTTATCTCTTGTAAGTCATTTTCAATCATACACTCCTTTCAAGCCTATTTTAGCGATAATCTATTAAGAAATGATTTCAGGTTTACTAAGACCTCAAATGTTTCCTTCTACCTCCTAAGAGACATTCAATTTGGCCATACAATAGAATGAGAGCTATTATTTTTCTTAGCCATCATAAATCCTATTTTCAAAGTGTATGAAGTGAGAGCTGAAGTAGTTGACCTCCCTTCCTTAAATAATACTGTAAATTCTGTAATTTAGGTTTAAAAACCTAGTATGTAAGAATCTTTAGCCCTGCTCTTTTGAAGCACTTTCTAATCTTTATGCTGAAATTAGGCTGTAAATAAGGGAAATCTTTCTCACGTTTTTCATTATGGTCTTTATTTTGCATGTCTTTACATTTTCATGTGATATTCTTAACTATCCAAAGATATACTACATAAACAGATAATAGAACCATTATTTTTTCTTCTTGATGGTCTCTTTATCTCATTTTTCTGTGACTGAGATCTGCTTCTTTACCAGCTGCATCCATTATTGCCTTAAGGCCTCTATCCATGTGCCAATATCAACAGATCATTTATAAATTTAACTCCCTCTTTCAGGATTTAACAGGTTTTCACAGTCAGAAGGAACTTAAAAGTGCTCCCCTCCCCAAAAAAATACTTATTTTTTACAGCAGTTCTTTATTATAGTCAATCTACATTAAACTAGTTAATTTCAGAAGATTTATCTTGCTCAAAAGCTTTCTGCTAGAGTAGACATTCTGATTATTCTGGAAGACTAGGCAATTTTTTCTTCCTCTTTTCATCACACAGCAACATTTACCTGTTAGCTATACAGGTTTGTTTTGTTTTCTTCTCACTTTTCTTGAAGTGTCTTGTGTGGGATTTTTTTGTTGTTGTTGTTGGTTTTACTACTTTTTCTTCTACTATCCTCCTTACACTGTGTAAGATAAAAGGTTTACATAACTAATTCTCCATTCTCAATTATAATACATTTGACATTGGAGATGTAAGATAGAACTGTAATACATGATTTTTTAATAGAAACAAGATCAAGTATAATGAATAGCTTTTCTTTACATTCTCCAGAATTTGACATTAATAATCCCATATCCCTGTAACTGCTCAAGAACATGTATTTAATGTAGTAACTTGTGTTTGTTCATTCTTTTCCTTGCTAAATATATATACACCAAATAAAAAAGTATTCTAGTATAAAATCTTGCATTGTAATAGCTAATAACTATCTGTTGTCTATTATAAACACCCAAAGGTTTACCACTACATGAAATGTTCTAACTTTTTCATGAAATCACCCTTGAGTATATAATAATCATTACTACTGTATAATATCTTGAAATAACTAATTTTAGTTATTTAAAAATAATTTTCCAAAACCTAGACTTTTATTATAACTAAAATATAGTGGTATCTGAAACAAATTCCATAAAGGGATATGTTAACACGATCCTATTTATCTTAAGTATTTTCTGTTTGTTTTACTCTTTAAAAGGCCTACTTTTCTAAGCAGTGTATCTTTAAATTATTATCCAATGAAAAAATATAGTCAAGAATCATTCAATATTTATAAAGGTATCTATTTTTATATGGTGCTTATTAAAATCATATCACAGAGATTTAAACAGGTCTATTTAGATCTTCCTGTTGCTTATTTGACTCAAAACAAATGTATAAAATGTATAAAACTAGACAAATGTATTCAGTTTTGCAAAGGCATGAAAATCCAACAAATCTTTCTCATCAGATTGCATGAACTATTGGATGACTATTCGCAATTTTTTCCATAAAAATATTGTTTGAGGTATGGTACATTTTTAATGTAATTGTTCCAGTGCCTAACATTAGGTTTACTATAAATATCAGATGTTCTTTCACAGATTTTGAGATCTTAATAATATCAAAAACATATCACTGATGCTCTATGCCTTGTCAATCTGAATGAAAATGACACCATTATTAGCATCATCACTAACAGATTTCTTAAATTAGCTGCCAATACTATCAGTTACATATTTTGCTGTTACTTTAGAAATGAGCTTGTTATAAGCATGCCACTTGTCACTATTTTATCTGGCTAACAATAAATTCAAGTGTTCTTGGACAAGGGACATCAGTAGGGCAGGGACCAGAGTCCAAATATAGAAGAGACATTTTTTAAATTGTGGCCAGGAGGTAATTTACGTATCCTCTTTAGGCCTCAATGTCTTCCTTAGTTAAGCTGCTGAGAGGATTCAATGAAATAATTCATGCAATGCACTTAACACAGAGCTTGGCACACACTAAGTGAAGGATTTTAGTACTTTATAATAAATATGATAATTTCCTAAAAAAAAAGAATTCAAAAACTAGTCCCAGCATTTATCAGATACTACAGACACATCTGACACATCTACTACTCTTTACCAGACTCTTCTTTCATTCTTTTTTACTTTTCTGTGTTCTATGTTCATGGCCTCATCAGTGAGACTTTGGTAACATTATGTCTAAGAGGTTCATTAGGTGGCACTCAGAATACCTGAAATGGAAGCTATGTTCTCTATGCGCCTCTTTCACACATGTCGAAGCTTCCGATTGCTCTTGCTTGAAATAAATTTGCGGGAAGCTGCCTTTACTCCACACTAAGCATTGGAGAGAGAAAAATGGCCAGTGTCTCTGGGGAATAATTAACAAAAGACAGTTTGTTTCATCTTCATGATAAAATACAGCATCCCTATTAAAAGGCAAATTCATCATTCCCAAAAGTTAAATAGAATGACACTTTTAAAGTAATTCCAGCTGATTAAATTTAGGGTTTTGAAAAAAAATTAATTCATGAATATACTCTGAATCTTTCATTTGATTTTAAAATGTATAAATGTTCATTTAACTTTGAGCCCTTGCCTCTCAGTGTTCTATTCTGAGCTAGTCAAACAAGTGGTAGCAGGCATGCTGGGCTCAATAATACTGCCTCTCATATTTAAATACTCTATTTCACTTGGATTGCAAATTAAAGACAGTCTCCTGAATGCTGACACATTTTCAATGATTGATTTTGCAAAACGTGTTGATTTTTCCTACACTGTTTTGCCTCTCTGTGTGTCAACTTTGGCCTTCTTTTCTTGCTCCTTTGCAGCACTGCTGTCTCTTTGAAGACATTGTCTGCCTGATACAAAAAAAAAATGTACATTAAACCTCATGACTAATTATGTGGATAGAAAATTCCCGACCTCAAACATAAAATACCCCTGCCCAGAAACCATAACAAAAGCTTCTGACTATGTACAAAACCCTTAATCAAACCTTTCACAGACTTGGATTAAAAGAAATCCCAATAATTTATTTTCTGTTAACGTTGTGCTTACATTCTTTGAAAAGTTGATTTCTTATGCATGTTACATGCATACATACATAAGTCAATCCATTTTATAGTAAACACCATGCTTTTCCCCACAAACGTTTATACTTGCTATTAGGTCTACTTCAATTAAATACTACTCAGAAGAACTGTTTTATTAGAAAGAGAAAACTGATTTGTCTTAACACAATGTCCATTTTTTAGTCCCCTCTCCATACTATGCTTTAACAGAGTAGACTCTTCACAATAAATTCTACAATCTATGGATTAAGTACACAGCTTCTTGTATTTTAAAAATATACTTGAAAAGAGAATAAACACATACTTTTATCCCTTCAAACTCCCCAAAAGATACAAAAGAATTTATCTAAATCTGAAAGTACAGTGCCTTACACGCAGGTCACATATAGGATAGAGCATGGAATTTTTTTGTCTCATACAACCTATTTATTGGGAAAATCATAATAGAACAGTTCTAGAGTTAATTTAACACATCATTTTTTAAGAACTATAACATGCAAGGCCATATTAAGCACTGTGAGTGACTGCCTGAAAGCAGTTTATAATGTAGTGTCTGTGTGCACACATGTTGGGGGAAACAGGTTAAAAAGACAGCATACAAAATAGTGACCGTCTGAAATAATGAGGTGAGCATTGTGTGAAAGCACACCATCGGAACAAAGAAAGAGAGAAGTTATGAACACTCCCCAGCATGCCTCTTTAGCATTTCAGAATTTTCATAAAGCCTACCAAGCCACCATTTGTTTCCACAACCAGTCCTAGCAGCAGACCCTCCTCGCTTCCAGTCTACCAAGTCTAGGTATTCTGCTGTTTGGCTGTTGCTTGCCTTTTCGTTAGACCAACTCTCCTCTACCTCTAGTTGTACATCTCACACTATTACCAAGTACAATAAAAGCATCACATGCCACCACACTACTATTTTGGGAAGCCCTGCAATGACTACCAGTGTACCAATTAACCAGTCCAACCCTGGATATAAAATGTTAGTTCCTCAAACACGTGATGCAGAATGGGAAGATGAGAGGAAGTGGGGTGAGTAGCCACACTAGTTACTCTTCAGAAATAGCCACACTACCTAAGCAGAACAGGTTGGATTAAGGTCTGCACATGAGCCAAAGCTGAGAATTCATTGCCTTTGTTGGCTCATGTCACTTCTTTAATTAATGTCACTTTCTCTGGTTTAATATCAGAGCAAGTGACAAGAGTGCTTCTGGATGAATTGTGTTTTCCGAGGACTGTATGGCACACTCTCCTGCAGTCTGACAGAGGGACGTGCCAGTTTTACTTGGCAGTTACAATGCACCAGCTTTAGTTTTAGTAGTTTAATTTGTGGCAGTTATATGTTTTGAATACGTTGAAGTATTCACAACGGTCTCATGGAATCTGTTCCATAGATAAAGTTTACACAGTGAAAAAGCAAAAGCAACGGCTATAAGGCGATTAGGAAAAGCTTCTCTTGGCCACAGCTGGTCTTACAGGCATTCCTGTAAATTTTAGAGCATTTAGAAGATATGATTAAAGTGATCAGAAGGAAGCGTGCCCTCTTTTAGGGGGTGGGGGAGGGGAGTTCTGTAGTGGGTGTGAGACAATCAGAAGGAAATATGATGTTTAGAGTTCTCAATTTTATGCAAAATCCATTATTCAAGAAGCAAAGTTTATATACATGATAGACATGCAATGAAATAAATGTAAAAATAGAAAGTTTTGTCACTTATGCATTAAGTTGGTTCTAACATTTTGGTTAACTAAGTTTTTATTGATAGAAAACTCAGAAGATTTTCTGCATTGAGGAGAAAGGACTAAACTTTTTCCTTTGGTTTGTTAAAAATCTTTCTGTTTCTGGATGAAATTTTCTGAAGGTCTTTTATTTGGAGTTTTCCCTTCATCTCCTTTATACAATTTTGTGAAGCTTCATCAGCTCATAGTGAAAAGAGCTGCCTGCCACCAAGGAGTTCTTCTAAACTTTGCCTGCCCTTTCTAAATTTAGGGTTCTTTACTGCAGCAGGTTGAAGATCTGGCTTTGATTGCACCTGGCTCTGCTGGAGAACAGAAATATTCATCTCCACTGAATGCATGCTGCTTAAGTGCTGGAGGCACTTGCAGGAGAGTAACTCTCATTGGAAACTTCATTACAATACTTTCTCTTCCCTACACGAAGTAGTAATTCTCATTCACCAAAGACAGGATTTTGCCTGACACAGCCACAGGAGCTGCTGTTTGACTTTCAAAATTAATCAACTTCTAAGTTGGAGTAGAAATGGCATGTCCTTTAACCTTAAGCACAAAAAGCTCTCAACAGACTGTAGTTTTTATATCCCTGGATGGGAATTTGGGCCCCTGATACTTAAACTTGATTCACATACTGGGTTTCTGGCATGCTTTTGCCCATACCCATCTGCTAGCCTGGCACTGTGCCCATTCAGAAGGTGTGATGCCAGTTTCAATAGGGCATAGGTGCCAATCAAAGATGGGTTTGGAGGGGCAGCATGCAGAACGCAGCAAAAGTCACTTCTTCTGCCAGAAGATCCTCCTGTTATCATATAATGCCAATGAAGGGCCACATGCTTCATTGCTTGGGATCACATTGCATCTGTAGATGTTTCTGGCCTTCAATGGATGTCTTTCTACAGAATATTTCCCTCAAGTATTACTTGATCGAAGATGTTAAAGAAAAGATAAATCTACCTGGCTAACAAAAGGCTATGCTTTTAAAAGAAACAAGGGAAGTCCTCAACAATTATCTTGAAATAATTGCTGAGTTTTCTATCTTTTCTCCTAAAATATTTTTTCATGGAGAATACAACAGAGTGTTCAGGAATAACAGTCCATGTGATGGAGCTATCAGGGACAAACATTCTAAAGAAATACTAATTGCAAAATCAAGTATCTAAGTAGTATAAAAACCATAAATGCCTTTAAGTGTAGATGATGAAGAAATTTTCATCATCCAAGTAGCTAATTTCTAATGAGCTCTCTCATTTAGAGCTTTAAAGTTTCTTAATTTTCTTCTCATTTATCTGATATAGATATTCCTGTGTCTTAAAAGAAGAAACACACCTCATACTATTTATTCCTCTTCTTCCTTATCTAAAGAAAAAAACCTAAAACACTTCAGAAGCAGAAGTCTATCCATATTTCATAAGGAAGCCAGAGCTCTCAAAAGCTGAGAATTCTTTTATTGTGTGGCAATAGAGGTGAGCTCATTTCAGGAAGAAGAAATTTCCCCACAGCAATATGTTTCAAATTAAAAAAAAAAAACCTTGACCACTGTAAACAGTTACAAGATAGTAACAGGTCCAGTGGAAGAGACATAATATATAAATGCACTGAAGAATAGAGTATTTTATAAATCTTCCCTTAAGGCAAAAGAATTTGACAGTAAAATGTTGAAAATAAAGAAGAACCATAATATAAAATATGCTTAAAAATGGATATTTAAAAAAATGAAAAAGCCAAGCAAAAGCCAAGTCTTATAAATCTCCCTTTTAATGGAAGGAACCCAAACTTTCTTAAACACCCAGATTTCTTAACTGATAGATAACTGGGTACTGCTATCTCTTTAAAAACTCAAAATTTAAATATAAACAAAATTAAAATACATCTTATAGAGACTTTTATTTCTTGTCTGTAAGTCCAACAAACGTATTAAATTTACAAAACTCCAAGTGATTCCTTCCCTGTTTTGAGTTTATATTACCTATTATTTATACCTTCTGGAGACTAATTTATCATAAACACTATAGTTTCTAGTCCAAATTATTCTCATTTTCACATTTATTCAATTCTTCTCTTCACTCCCACAGTATCATTTGCAAAATTGCCTAATAACAATTGCAGTGGCACCACAACGTTGCATTGTGTCAGATAAGGCTATTTATCTCAAAGCTCTCTATAAACACTACCAAAATAACACTTAATAATGTAATATGTAATGAAGCAATATGTATTCCAACACACTACTTTGTTGCTAGTATTATCACTGGGCTCTTCTAAACTTTATTCTGCATACCTTAAAATCAATCTATTATAGCTCACTATTTATAAAGAAAATAAAAAATTATTTTATGAAGAAGTAAAAACATTCTATGTATGTGGTTTATATTTACTTGTTTTAAATATAAATGTTTCCTTATCAGTAAAATAAATGATTTAAACTTTGGTAATTTCTAAAAACCTATCCGCCAACAAAAGATTCCTTCTATGTTTCTGAAGTACAAAATTAGGCTAATCCGACAACATGATCCAAAAATGTCTGGCAGTCACTTTGATGAAATTTAAACATCTGTCCATGGATAAATGATCTGATTTTCAGGCTTCACCACAGTTAACTTTAGTTATAATAATGTGTTATTCTTTATAAAAGCTTTGAGATAGTATCTTTATAAAAGATATTGCTACTGATGTCCTGTCAATAAAGCACATGCACATTCTTTTAGATGATGTCATGATAGGTGCCTTGTCTCAACTTTCCTGGTGACTAAGGATACTAATCTGCAGTAGATCGAAGAGTGACATCTATAATTATGGAAGAGAACAAAGCAAACTAGCTTGTGTGGGTTAAGTACTCCAATCTCAGTCTCAATTTCTCAGGCAAATAACTGTTGAACATCTATTCTGTGCTTGACACTCCAAAGATGCTAAATGGTCATCACTATGCCACCTTCAAAAAACTAAAACTGCTACAGATAAATCATATCTTTTACTTACATAATCAGCCTTCAAAAGAATGTGGCTAAAGTTTATCCTGTAATTCTGTTATTCTCAATTTTGAATAATTTCTGAAACCAATAGCTTTAATATCTGAGGCAGATTAAATACAGCTTATATGAGAACTTTTCACTACTATAGCAAATTTTAGGGGGAGCTTTTATCAGTTAGTAAAATGTCATAAAGTCTTATGCTGACATTCTCTATGTTCTCAGTTTTACCACATTAGTAGTTAAATCCACCAAAATTCATAGTAGAATAAATAGAAAATCCACCCTTCCAATGGAGTTCTTTGTCATCATCTTAATCCACTATGGCAGCATTTTTTTTTTTTTTTTTTTGAGACAGTCTCACTCCGTCACCTAAGCTAGAATGCAGTGGTGCAATCTTGGCTCACTGCAACCTCCTCCTCCCAGGTTCAAGCAATTCTCATGCCACAGCCTCCTGAGTACTGGGACTACACACACACATTACCACAACCAGCTAATTTTTTGTGTTTTAGTAGAGATGGGGTTTCACCAAGTTGCCCAGGCTGGATGGAGCTCAGGCAATCCACCCGCCTGGGCCTTCCAAAGTGCTAGGATTACTGGCATGAGCCACTGTGCCTGGCCCCACTATGGCACCAGTATTAAGAATGGGAAAGTCTATGGAAATAAATAACTAAATTACATTTATTAAATGCTTACCAAGTTCCTTAAAAAAATCTCATTTAATTCTCCTCACAATTATTATTATCACAATTATGCAGAATAGAAACAACCCAAAGGATTAAGTAACTAGATGAATAAGTGGCTTCATCAGGTCAGGATTCAGGTCAGATATGCCTAATGCCAAAACCTCTGCTATTATTTATGCAATTCTCCCGTAATTTACTTGGTTCTGTGTTATACCCAGCATTATAGTAAAATTCTAACCCTCAGTTTTCTCTCCTTCCTGATATTTAAAAAACTTTTTCATTCATTTGATACTAAAATGACAGCAATTTTTCCCATCCCCTAAACCAGTTTCCTTTCTTCCTTTTTCCTCCCCTTCTCTTTTCATATTCAAAGAAAGAACTTTGACTTTGTTCTTGTATTCAGACTTTTCTTTTCACTCTTTTAGCTATTTCTTATTAATGCTAGAGGCACATTATTTCTCCAAGTCAAGAGTAAATACCAAACTTCTCTGCCCCTTCCCCTTAACTGTAAGCTGCTGATTACCGAAAGGCCCTGGCTACTGATCTCAAAGCTAGAGGACAGTTGTACATGTACAATGAGCTAGACAGAGCAGCTAGTTTCTTCTCAGCCTTAGGCAGTAAACGCTGATCAAGTGTCTGCTGAAAGAGGGTATCTGGAAAGAATCGAAATGAATGTCACTGGACACAAAAGTATTCAGGAAAATTTGAATTTTACTGCTTCTTCTCTTCATTTATATAGAGGAAGTGATGAGAACCATGATAAAATGCAAAAACATGATGTAATTTCATATTGATTTGTTTGTATAGCTTTGAAAATAGTAAAAACTAAGTTTAGTGAAATTAAACTGATTCTATGATTCATTAGCATCACTTTTAATGGAACAGTTACAACATTTGGAACACACATCTTTATTATAAATTCTGAAGTACTGGAGCCTTTTTTCTGAAAATAGCTAAATATTTCTTTAAAGTCCTTCCTCAGTGGTGTGTACTTGCTAATCTTCCTAGGTAGGGTCCAGGTTCTAAAGTTCAGATACTAGAGAATGTTCCCTTACATATTGAACCCTGAAAATATATTGTAAAACAAACAGTATTATTTTGGTAATAAAAAAAAATAAGTAGGCTGGGCACAGTGGCTCACGTCTGTAATCCCAACACTTCGGGAGGCCGAGGTGGGCAGATCACCTGAGGTCAGGAGTTCGAGACCATCCTGGCCAATATGGCAAAACCCCGTTTCTACTAAAAATACAAAAATTAGCCAGGCAGGGTGGCAGGTGCCTGTAGTCCCAGATGCTTGGGAGGTTGAGGCATGAGAATTGCTTGAACCTAGGAGGTGGAGGTTGCAGTGGGCCGAGATTGAGCCACTGCACTCCAGCCTGGGTGACAGAGCGAGACTCTGTCTCAAAAAAAAAAAAAGTAAAAATATGTGACACTGTACTAGACTGAAAGAAGCAAATATTTTTCTGCATTTGAATAGGGACAAGTAAGTCACATGCCTATGCAAGTATATTCCTTTATCATAACAGTAACAATAGTGACTATGTGTACACATAGATACATACAGGTATACAGACATACACTATTTAATCTTAAACATTCACTTGAATTTAAATACATATAATATTTACATTTCAAGAAAATCAAAGAGATAAAATCAACACATCAATACTTTTCTCTAGTTCTTTGAAATTACTCAAATAATACAAATATTAGAAAACCAAAAGTGATAAGCTATGGAATTCAAGGCTATAGCTCAGCCACATCAGAAATAATTTATTCAACACTATATCTCAACCTTGAGTCAAGACAGTATACTAGAGATCTTAACTCTTTGCTGTAAAAGAGAATTCACTAAGTTCAAGTTTCAAACAATACTTATCCTCACATAGTCTTTATTTGCACTATTCTATACAGCAGCCACATGTAGTTACTGAGCATATGAGCCACATGGGCTAACTGGGCTCTTGAGACTAGATACACCTTGGATTTTGAAGACTTTCATTTAAAAAAGTAAAATATTTCATTTGTTTATGTTGAGAGCATATTGAAATAATATTTTTGATATACTAGATTAAATATTATTAAAATAATTTCACCTGTTTCTTTTAACGTATTTTAATGTGGCTCCTAGAAAATTTTAAACTACATATGTAACTTGTATTACATTTCTATTGAACAGTGTTGACTATGTCATTCAATCTAGCACTTAATAACCATAGTATTTTTTCAAGCAATTTCAAGCAAGTTCAAACCCTTTAAATGGGTCCTTTACTTGACTCATACAATTTTTTGTGCTGATCTTGTCTTTCCAACTAGAATAGACACTTAAGTATTTAATAAGCAGATATTTATTGACCAAACTTCATTCATTCATTCATTCAAAACTACAATCTTAATTTTATCAGAAGAGGATCTTTTATATTTCAGGATCCATGAAGCATGTTTTTCTGGAAATATGTGATGAGAACCCAAGATTCCCTCAACGGAGGTATTTTATCAACTCCTTAATCTCCTATAGAAATAGATGTGATCTCAAGTCTCAAGTGAGTACATTTAGGAGAATTTATCCTTGAGGGTATATTTTTAAAAATCACTACTATTTTCCTTATTTTATTAATCAATCTTTTAATGGATATCCCCTCCTCATTCCAACTCAATGATCCATTAAAGTTCAGTGTAATTTTTAAATGCTTAAATGCAATGTAAAGGCCTATCCAGCCCATGGTTCCTTACCTGTACCACAGATCACAGAAAATAATTTTGAGTGTTTATTTTTTCAATTATCCCAAGAATGGCACATCCCTAGGGACCACTCTAGATGCACGAGAGAGAAGTTAATTCATTTCACAGAATAGATGCCTTAAGTTTTATCTATGAATTCTCCAGTAGAGCCCAATTAAGAAATGACTAGACTCTTGTATTGCCTAAATATTGATTAAGATTCACAAACAGAAAGTGTTTTTATCTATACAGTTGTGGTTTCTCATCTGAAAAAAGCATGTTTCTAAGAAAACAAGCTCTCAAAAAAAAAGAAAGTTAGCATTTTGTCTGGCAGATTGTATAATTATGCTCTAAAAAGACTTCTAAGATTTACTCAGAAAAACATGGACAACAAGGAGTGGGTCAGTGATGTCTTGAACCTAGACACTGTACTCTATTATTACTTAATCGAGTACAATCATGAATTTTAATAAAGTACACATATGAATTCCATATTTCCATTCTTAAAATACCACTAAGTAATCACGGTTACAGTCACAGATATAAGAATAATTGTTAATTTAAGGTTTTACTTTACCTAAATATATCAATCCAAATCCTCCAGAGCCAATCTTCTTGCCCAGTACCCACTGATTGCCTTCCATATCATCCAGAACCTTGCCTTCTGGAAATGGAATAGGAAGTTTGTATTTTTCATTTCTTTTTGGTGGCATCACTTCTGTTGGCAGAAGGGGTGAGATAAATGGGTAAAAAGAAAAACAAACAAACAAAACTCTTAAAATACACTTCCCAAAATGTCTTCAATAGGGAACTTTCCCAGGTTCCCAGAAATTAGGATTCTAAAGTTAATTCAGTTTGGAAAAGCCCACACATTATATTCAAATTAGAAATTCACATACATTACAATACTGAGATCTAAGAGGTATAGATATTTTAAAAAAACAGAAGCAAACTAACCAAATTTCATCCAAAATTCATTTCGGGGTTCTATAGCACATATTAACAGTGCAGGACACACCTTAAGAAACACGAAATTAACAATTTCCAATGAAGAAAGAAAATAAATTTCATGTACATGGAAATATTGCTGTCACTGAGAATGTAAAATGTTAAAAGTGAGAAGGTCTTCAGTCACTAGAAAAGAACACAGGATTGGATTGGGAAGACACAGACAATGGCAATGGACATCTCACCACCGTGATACTAGGTACTCAGTAAACATTTGTTAAATGAGCCAGGGATTTTCACGGATATGTAACTTAGCAGAATACTAGGCCATCAGTTCTCGGGCTGCCAAAATATTCTCAGCATTTTGTCTTCTTACCCTCTTTCTCAGTTTATCACAGTGAAAACAGTCCTGCCTTAGAGATTACAACTGTGCCACCAACAACAAAAGCATAATCTCCACAGCACAGCCATGCAACTTTAATCAACTAATTATAATTGTACATAGGTTAGCAAATTTCTCAATGGGAAATTCTGAGTTAAAAGAGAAAATTTCTTAGGGGAAAATACATATGCCAGCATACATGCCTGAAAATAATTTAAATGTGAAGGTAACCATGATCCTCTAAGTATTTAAAACTATTAAGAGTTTCTGACATGAAAGTTAATTAAAAACGTATATACGTAAATGTAAAGTTTTCTTAATATAATCTTCCTAGCTTCCATAAAAGAAAGTATCTGTTTTTCCTTTAACGGGTTTTTCCTCCTTCACTTAACTGCTTTTTTACTTAGCAGTATTGTCCCAGGTAGAGTCGCTGCGTGTATCTTTAACAATATTCACCTTCCTCCTGATAGGCACACAAGGGCTGGGAATTTGGATGGTGAACTATGCCTAGAGCATTGATTGTATCATAAAGCAGGAAAAGTTTTTGTGGAGGTTTCCCTTGACCAGTACATTATATAGGCTGGTGCCTATTACAGATTTACTGATTTAAAACTTAAAGTCTCCAAAGTGTAAACTACTGATTAAGGAATAAATTCTAAATAATTATAAAAAAGATAAATACACTTTGGGGCAAGGCAGCGGCCTCAGGGCTTGAGGCGGTAAGGGAGACTCTACGAAATGTACATCCTGGGGGCGAGTCCCGAGTTCATCTGCCAAGGGAAACGACAGCCTCTCAGGGCCCGTCCCTGTCAGGGGTGTCCCTTCGGCTTCTGGGTACCTTCCCAGGGCTAAGATGAGTCCTCAACACGAGTTTCCGAGCAAACTGGTACCCAGGGGTTAACATGTGCCTGGGCTGACCTCCAACCCCGCCGCGGCCCCTGACCCTGCGGAAGGTAACGAGAAGCAGCGCGGCCCAGCCGCCTGGTCCGTCCGCCCTTAGCACGCCGGGGACCTACGGCCAACCCCGCGCCCCAACTTCCCGCCACAAGTTCTCTCTGCACCGGCAAAAAGAGAAACTCCACCCACTTTTCCGCTAACACGTCGGACCCGCTTTTGGCAAACGTGAGTAGAAGGGGACGCCTTGTTCTCACTCCCAGCGGGGAAAAAAGAACCAAACGCGGAAGCAGCGACTCTGCCCGGGCCGGAGCTGAGGCCCGGGGGCTGGGACGGCCCGGAGTCCCCGGCATCTAACTCCGACGGCAGCCCTTTTCCGAGCGGGGCCGCGGCTCCGGCACTGCAAGCGGAGGTGCCGCCCGCCACCCAAGACCCCAGAGCAAGAGACTGACCGGGCCTCAGGATCCCCCGTCGCCGGGCCGCGCGCACCGCCTCCTACCTGCCGCTGCGACGAGGCGGAGCCCCCGGGCCTACAGTCCCGCGGGGAGGCGGGCCCAGCACTCGAGCCTGCCCTCCCTAGGACCTGCCTAACTTCTCTCCAGCTGCGTCGGCCTCGCAGTGCAGCGGCCCGCGGAGCCTCACACAGGCCGCAGCCGGTTCCTTTCAGCGGCCTGTCCACGCCCCGGAGACGCCCAGGGGAAGGAGAGGGCGCGGCTACATGGGGAATGGGAGCTGTGTTACTACCTCCACCCTGGCCCGCCAGCGTCTGGACGAAGAACCGCCGCCAGACCAGTTTGGTACGAAATAAGCACGACATGCATTTGTGTAGGAGTGTTAGATCTCCTGTACCACAACCTGAGTACTACGAGCTTCCAAATGGCTAGTCCTTACCGAGCTCTCGCCGAGCAACTAACTATTGGTACTAGCGAAGACTCCAGTTAGGAGGGCCTGTATGTAACTCACCGCGTTTAAGTTCTCAAAGGCATATTGGTTCAGGACCTATTTCTGCCATTAATCGTAGGATAATTTAACACCGTAATTAACAAACTTCAGGTTTTTTTGTCTGTGAAATGGAAATAACCCTTGTTGTTAGATTATAAGGTTATTGGTTATAAGATTATGACAATAAGGTGAGGACTTTATTAAGCAGTTTTCTAATACATAAAGACTCATAGTGGCCAGGTGCGGTGGCTCACGCCTGTACTCCCAGCACGTTGGGAGGCCGAGGCGGGTGGATCATCTGAGGTCAGGAGTTTGAGACCAGCCTGGCCAACATGGTGAAACCCTATCTCTACTAAAAATACAAAAAATTAGCCAGGCGTGGTGGCGGACGCCTGTAATCCCAGCTACTCGGCAGGCTGAGGTAGGAGAAGCGCTTGAACCCAGGAAGCAGAGATTGCAGTGAGCAGAGAGCGCGCCACTGCACCCCAGCCTGGGCAGCAAGAGGGAAACTCAGTCTCGAAGGAAAGAAAAAAAAGACTCATAGTAAGCTTATATTTTAGACTAAACCAAACAAATGCTTAGACAAAGATTATTAATACGTCAGCATTCTACATAGTAACCACCAATAATTGGTTGGGATACAAATACTGAAAGGAAAATTAGAGCCCTTTAATGACTTTGATAGAATAAGGAATTGGGGCTCCCTACATCTTTCAGACTGTCACCAAAATGAAAGATGGCATGAGAAGACGTTTCTAAAAACAAACAAAAAAGTATTTTTAAAGAAACAGTCCATAGAATAATTGTGCCCTTAGTCATTCACTGGTCCAACAGTGTCCTTTCTTATTTTCTTAAGATATTTATATAACAGATGCATAATTACAGATATTTATGTAACAGATGCATAATAATCCTAATATCCATATTGGGTACTCTTTCCTCCTTTCCAAATTTGTTTAGCTTTCCACCACTTCCCCGGCTCCCTTTTGAGAAGAAACAACTCCAGTAGCAACCACAGCAGATTACTTGTAGGTGGTTCCTCTCCCTACAGGCATGTATCCAGTGTTAGTAAATCCTGTTGGCTCAACCTTCAAAATACATCCAGCATCTATCACTTAGCACCCTTACCTGCATTCTGGCCCAAACCATATTTTTTCTCTAGGTAATTGTATTACCCTCCTAAATGTTTTATACCCTCTTATCCCTTTAGTCTGTTCACAGCAAGCAGCCACATGATCCTTAACGCTTAAATAATTACTGAGCTTAAAACAATTCAGTGTTATTCCAATTTACTCACAATTAGCCAGTCTTCGCTATGACTTTAAACAGCATTTCTCAACCTGGGCACTATTGACAGTCAGCCTGGATAATTCTTTGTTGGGGGTTTGGGAGAAGGAGGAGGATTGAGAGATAGGCTGTCCTGTGCATTGTAGGATATTTAGCAGTATCCCTGGTCTCCTCAGCACTCCCTCCCACACAAGTTAACAACCAAAATATCCCCCAACATGACGAAATTTTGCCAAAATTGCCAGTCGTTGAAAAGAACACTGATCTACCTATTATGCACTCCCACTCCCCAATGTCCTATTACTCTCTTCAACCACAGTGGCCTGCTGTTCTCAAGAACTTTTCGCATTTACTGCCACCTGGACCACTCTCCAACCTGGTATCCGTATAGACTGCTCCATCACTTCCTTCAGGTCTTTATTTAAAAGTCAGTTCAGTGAGACCTTTCCTAAACATCCTATCTGAAATTTCAGCTCACCCACAATATTTCGTAGCCTCTTTCCCTGTATTTTTCCCAGTACCTACTGCTATACAGCAATATATTATACAGTTTATTATTTATTTTGACAAAAGACAATCTTTTTCAGTAAATTGTATGTTTCATGAGGTCAGGCAACATTTTTGCCTGTTTTCGTCACTACTGTATCCCCAACCCCTAGAAAGGATATGGGCAACCATTTCCTTCTTCAATGAATAAATGAACCATGCTGGCCCCATTCCAATTCCCATGATTGGTTTAGACAGTACAAAATAAGCATGTGCTGAGTCTAGGTAACGAGGTGAAAAGAAGTTTGCTGGACACATTCTTGGAAGAGATAGTCTCTGATGTGATGGTTAAAATGGCTGCAGTCATCGTGTGACCACAAAGATGGGAAAAAGTACTAATCTAAAGCCCCAGGAATGGCAGAATATTCAACAAATGTTAGAACAGCTAGACATCCATATATACAAAAAAAAGAAGAAAGAAAGAAACCTCAACCCTTAATTCACACCCCATGTAAAAATTTACTTGAAACTGATCATACAGCTAAATCTAAATACAAGATCTAAATCTCAAACTTTTTAGAGAAAACCTAGCAGAAACTCTATATAATCTTTAAATGTGTGCACTTATAAAGTATAAAAAATTTAAAAGCTGGAAACCTAAAAGAAGAAATTGACAATTTAACTTCATCAAAATGAAAAACTTTTGCTTTTCAAAAAATACTAATAAGTTACCAAGGATTTGGAACAACTTGGAACTCTCTTATATTGCTGTTGATGGTACAGCCACTCTGGAAAACAGTTTGGCAGGTTCTTATAGTGTCAAACATATAATTAACATACAACCCAGCATTCGCATATTTACCCAAGATAAATCTAAACCTGTATCCACACAAAGACTTGTAGGGGAATCTTTAGAGCAGCTTCATATGTGATAGCCAAAACTGGAAATAAATTTCCATCAACTGGTGAATGAATAAGCAAATTATACTATATCTACTATACAATGAACTATCACTCAGCAATAAAAAGGAGCAAAGCACCAATACAGTCAACAAGCTGGATGAATATCAAAAACACAATGCTATGTAAAAGAAGACACAAAGGAGTATATATAATATAATAATTTATTCGAAATCGAAGAGCTGGGATTGACTGCAAGGAGCTGAAACGTTGCAAATGTTAAATTTCTTTACTGTGGTAATAGATACATTATTATACATTTGTCAAAATTCCTCTAGTTATACACTTAAAATTGAATTATATATAAATTATGCCTTAATAAAATCGATTTAAAAGAATGGCAAAAGAGAAAGATAGGAAGATCCTGAGTCTTTGAGGCCATTATTGAACTACTAATTCAACTAATCCTGAACCACCATATTTTCATATTCATCCATGAAGTGTTAAGTGTTCTTATGATTTAAACCACTTAGCATTGGTTTTTATATTTCTTGCAGCCAAAATCTTCCTAACAGTAAAATAAAGTTTCAAGTTTCATAAGTGCCAATGATTTTTAAATGTTAATAAATTTGTACTAAATAAAAATGGCAACAGGAGCAGGTAAACCTATATTGAGAATATGTGTTTTTTTTAAGTGTTGGGATTTAATGCAGAATTTTATGATTCAGAGCATATTGCTGTGTGTATGTTTCAAGATGAAAACTGACAGAATATAGAAATACAAATTTTGGAACTAGTGAAAGAACATCTTCTGAATGAACATGATGAGAAACAAGAAAGAAAAGAGAATCTAGACATGAAAGCAGTGAAGTGTGAGTCATCAGAAAAAAAATATGGGGAAAACTAGGTTTTCAAACAAAGCTATTTTGATAGATCTTACAGGCTATGAATGATTCACCACAAATACACGCACACAAAAGGACTTTCTTGGCTGTATGCCAACTTGTAGGTATGGCATGCGTTCTGCTTTTCAAAGAACTGGGTGCTATAAAATGCTTACACTGGTTAAAAAGAAAAAGAAAAACCCAACCATTTAGTAAGCATACTTTACAAGGCCAAGATCATTTCAAATCAATTAAAATGTTAAAGATGATGCATAGACAAAACATTCAGAAAAAGCCAATTTTTGTTATTTAAAGTGAGATAAGGAGATCATATCAGTGAACGTGTTTTGCCTGCCAAAGAAGAGCTAGTATTTTTGTTCTGTAAAAATCAGGAGGCCATTTGCACTCATAAACTTACAATCTCTAAACAGCTAAGCAGTTCCTGACATAGAAATTTTGAAATTAATAATTTTGAAAATAATAGAATTCAGGTAAATGGAATTCCAAGCCCATTAGATAAACAATCAGACCAAGTATCTATGTCCTCTGCATTCTTTACATATAAGATCATTACAAAGTATAAACTTAATCATCCAAATGACATAATTCTTCATTGTCTATATAAATGAAGAATTAGAATATTAAAAATAATTTAAAATGTCATATCAATATGTCATGTAAACCAAAAAGTATCTGAGATAAGTCTCAATCAATTTAGAAGTTTCTTTTGCCAAGGTTAAGGACATGCCCGGGATACAGCCTCAGGAGGTCCTGAGAACATGTGCCCAGGATGGTTGGGCTACAGTTTGGTTTCGTATGTTTTAGGGAGACAGAAGACGTCAATCGATACTTGTAAAATGTACATTGGTTCAGTCTGGAAAGGCCCGACAGCTTGAAAGGGGGGTAGGAGGGGGGAGTTCCAGGTCATAGGTGGATTCAAAGATTTTCTGAGTTTATCTAAAGACCTGGAATCAGCAGAAAGGAATATCTGGGTTAAGATAAGGGGTTGTGGAGACCAAGGGTATTAGTTTACTGATGGAGCCTCCAGGTAGCAGGCTTCAGAGAGAATAGACTTTAAATGTTTCTTATCAGACTTAAAAAGATGCCAGATTCTTAGTTAATTCTCTTCTGGATCAGGAAAAAGACTTGGAAAGGGAAGGGGATTCTCTACAGAATGTAGATTTTTTCCACAAGAGAATGTTTGCAGGGCCATTTCAAAACATGTCAAAGAAATATATTTGGGGATAAACTGCTTCATTTTTTTTCAGGGCCTGGTATCTGTCATGTTGGTATCTTATTGCTACAAAAAGTCTGTCTCGTCAGTCCAAAGGTCTGTGCTTTAATATTAATGCTGGTCAGTTGTGTGGGAATTTCAAAGGGCAGAGGGTATGCATACCCAACCACCCATTTCCATCATGGCCTGAACTGGTGTTTCCAGTTAACTTTGGAATGTCCTTGGCTGAAAAGAGGGGTCCATTCAGTTAGTTCGGGGGCTTAGAATTTTATTTTTCATTTATAGTCAAAAGGCTCAATAAAAAATTTTTAAGCATATTAATTTGTAGAACCCTGCTGCCAAACAAAATGTAAATGTAAATATGTATCAGATTATCTCTCAAACAATTGAATGTAGTAAACCAAATATTGACTAGCCAAAAGTGGTATGATTCTTACCCTGTCCATTCCCCAAATACGAGCACCATAAAAGGTTAACTATAAGACTATATTTACACTCTACATCCTTTTTCCCCCCCAGTTAACATCCCTGCAGTAACCAAAAACATGAGCTGGATAAGGAGGAGAAGAGGAGCTGGCCGAATGATTTTTAAGCAGAAGCTGAATGTTCAATAAGAATAGAGTTGACACCTTCAGAGGAGAAGTAAGAAATAGTTTTCCTGTGTGTCATGTAAGTCATGTTTTTAGGCTTACCTTTCATGCAATTGCAACAACATCCTCTAAGGGTCTTGAACGAACCTTCTATTCCCCAAATATTCCTGACCATTCCCAATGACTATCTCAGATGTGCTCCATCACTTTGTCTCTCCTACTGTGAACCTTTTGGTTGGTATCTACTGTTGACACATAGCTTACCTAATGAACTAGGTGGAAGTATCTGGCTAATGTTGCTAGCTGCCTTCTTCCACACAGCTCTATCTCTGACATTCTGTAGCTTGCAAGGCATCAAAATGGACCTGGATTTTCTGCAGCCCTTAAGACACTTAAACCAAGTTGTGGTCCACACAGAAGCAAAGGCTTCTCTTGTCGCTTTGGGTCACAATTTCTCTTACTGCTTTACTACTTCCACTACAGGGGCTAACAAATGTTTTAATGTAAACAGTGTATTTAGGTTTTCCTCTAAGTCTCACTGCCAATTTCAGGACCTAAGCATGCAGTTGGGAGCTAGTGGACACGACAAGTGAAAGATATTATGTTATATTCAGATTTATTTTTCTTTAGATATCATAAAAGTAATTGGACAAACCTAGTCTTCCTGACTTCCCCTTCTGTTACCTGTTATATTGAGTTATCTCACTGAAGACTCCTTGTTATTTCAGGCAAATACACTCAGATGTCTGTGGATCTAGAAATGAGTGAAAAATATAGATTCCAGCTGAGAGATACACAATTATCAAATTCCTTAAGATATACCAATATTTAAATCTATTTATTATAAAATACATGCTTATCTGGGGAACATAGCGAGACCCTGTCTCTACCAAAAATTATTAATAAAAAGTAAAAAAAATTAGCCAGGTGTGGTAGTGTGTGCCTGTATTCCCAGCTACTCAGAAGGCTGAGGTGGGAGGATTGGGAGCCTGGGAGATTGAGGCTGCAGTGAGCTATGATCACAACACTACTCCAGCCTGGGCAACAGAGTGAGACTCTGTCTCAAAAATAAAAATAAAAATAAAAATAAAAAATAAATAAAAATAAAATACATGCTTATAGTAAATATTTAAGAAAATATCAAGAAGTAATTATAGAGGGGGAATTGCCCATAAAAAATTTTTAAAAATACTCTCTGTTAACATTTTAGTGCATTTCCTTTTAGTGTTTTATTTTTTATCCCGTAAAAGGTTTTAGGTTATATGCTTTCCACAGTTATACTCAAATTGTGTGTATATAATATTTTTATTCTGCTTTTTTCAATTAACAGTATAACAAACACATTTTCCCCCTCTCCAGTCATCAGTCATGATCCCCCATCCTTAAACAATTAGTCACTAAATCCTGAGTCTTTAATATGCTTATTGGGGTAATGAGTTGGGGAAAGACAAGGAGTGATCTCAGGAAGCCAGGAAATTCATATTGAAATAAAAAGAAATGCTAGGGAGAAAAATAATTAAGAAGGCTAGAGGAGAAACAGAAAAGACAAGAATTCAATCCTATTGGATGTAGGAGAAATTTTTAGGGAATAAGGAGAGAGGAATATGAAAGTTTTTTGTGGAGAACAGCTGCTCTGAGATAACTGAGACTGAAAGAGAAAGAAAAAGAGCATTTTTAAGAGTTGAATGTACTTCCCCTTTTGGCAATGTTGTGAGGAAGTGCAATTAGGATGCACATTGCTTTCGGTTATCTTTGGCTGCAGGAGAGTTGTTTCTTGGAATATGATCCTATGTGAGGATCTTTTCAAAATGAGGGTATAAACTGGCCAGGATGATGTAGGTTGTATAATAGCTTTTAAAATTGTTTTATTTTTACGTAAATCAGATAATACCTTACTTGCTGTTTCACATCTTGATTTTTATCAACTAATAGTATTGTGGCTTCCCCAACCTGCATCAATATATAAATATTTTATCATATTCCAGTTGTACATGTCTTCTAATATTCCATAGTGTAGATGTATCATCATTTAATCGTTTTTATTTAGATGGATATTTAGGGTTTTTTTGTTTTATTCCAAATTATCATGAAAGCAGAATGTTGATCAGTCTTATTTCATCAGCACCTGTAGTAGTGGCTGAGGTTGTGTGGTTGAGGCTTGCATATTAAATTGACAAAAGACAGATTAACAGGAAAAAAGGTGTATGTATCTTTATTGATGCTAAATTTTTTTATGTGCATAGGGTCTCACAGAAAGAAAGTGAAAACTCAAAGAAGTTAGACTTGTAGGCATATATACCATTTTAACAAAGTGTGATATATTATGGAGAAGTGACTAGACAAAAGAAATGAGGGCTCCTAGGGGCAGTAAACTATGGAACAGAGACTGGTAAATCTGGGGTAGATAAGGCTTGTTTAGTAAGTTTTGTTAGGCAGATAAGAATAATTATCCTACACTCGGGACTGGAGAGAAAAACACCTTTACAAATGAAAATCTGTGTTGCCTTTACAAAGGAAAATTTATACACCACTGTAAGGCAGAAAGGAGGAGGCCGGAAAGTTCTTCCTGTGTGTGCTCATGTTAGTCCATTTTCACACTGCTATTAAGGAATATCTGAGACTGGGTAGTTTATAAAGGAAAGATTTAATTGACTTACAGTTTAGCATGGCTGGGGAGGCCTCAAGAAACTTCAAGTACCTTTTTCACAAGGCAGCAGAAAAGAGAGCAGGGGAAACCTCCAATTATAAAACCATTAGATCTTGTGAGAACTCACTCACTATCACAAGAACAGCATGGGGGAAAACACCCCCATGATCCAATCACCTCCCACCAGGCCTCTCCCTCAACACCTGAGGATTACAATTCGAGATGAGATTTGGGTGGGGACACAGAGCCAAACCATATCAATGTTGCTCCTCAATTGCTTTCAGCTCCAAATCATCCTTATATCAAAGTGGCATATTTTGGGGTGTCATATTCTAATTCCTATATTGGCATGTAGCAGGCAATGAAATAAATGCTTGTTGAATGAATACTTGCTACACTGCCTGTTTTTCAGTCTTTTATATTTTCCCAATGAGATGGCAAATTATTGTGTTGTTTTAATTTTTATTTTTCTGATTACTAGTAAGGTTAAGAAACTTCTCATTTGTTTATTAGGCATTTGTACTTTGTAAAATTAGTTGTTGGCCATAGCTCTACCCATTTTTCTACTCAGTTTGATCATTTTCTGAAAACAGTTTCTTTATTGGCAAAAAGAAGGGAGACATATTGCAGGAGTATTGTAAGGTTTAAATGAAAAGATGGCAAAGAACCTAGCATAGTAAATATCTCCTTAGATATGAATGTACTTCCTCAATTTTCTCAATCCTGAGAATACTCTTGAGTAGGAAGGTATTGGCCCACATCTTTTAAAACACTTTTATGAAAAATGGGGGATTTTGTTTCTGTGTCTTCCACAAACAGCTTTTTTCTTTAAGCTTTTCATTGCAAACATGCAGATATTTATGGAACAAGAGTCAAAACCTACTTCTGCACCCCTCACCCCACCTGCCCCCTTTCCCATAGAAAATAAACAGATTCTAAGGTCTTTCAGTTTTTATTCTTAGGGCCTATAGACCTTGAGCTCAGTTTGTCTCAACTAAAATTATATAGGATCTTGAGTACTTGATAAAGAGTTTAGCCTTGACATTATAGACCTTGGCTGTGTAGCACGGAAGTCATGAAACACCTGCGACCGTGTACATTTAAACGAATCAAGACACTGGGAATGGTGGCTCATGCCTGTAATCTCAGAACTTTGGAAGGCTAAGGCAGGAGGATTGCCTGAGCCCAGGAATTGGAGATCAGCCTGGGCAACATGATGAGACCCTATCTCTGCAAAAAATACAAAAATTAGCTGGGCATGGTGGTGCATGCCTATAGTTTCAGCTACTCATGAGTCTGAAATGGGAGGATGGCTTGAGTCCAGGACAAGACTACAGTGAGTAGTGACTGCACCACTACACTCCAGACTAGGCAACAGAGTGAGACTCTGTCAAAAAAAAATTAATTAATAAAATTAAGATTAAGCAAAATGAAAAATTCGGTACCGGCTTCATGAGTTATGTTTCAAGTGCTCCTTAGCCACATGTACCTAGTGGCTACCCTATTGGACAGTATAGATTATAAAATATTTCCATCATTATAGAGAGTTATGTTGGACATCACTACTATAGACAATAGAAAATCACTGGAGACTTGAGCAGGAGGCTGACACTAACTACTTGTGTGTGATAACCACACAGAATATAGCGTGATATATATGAGAATGGTCTATTCTTTAGCCAACACCATATTTTTTTGATTACTGTAATTCTAAACTACATTTTTTTTGGTTTTACATAGTATTTCTGTATATATTAATTTGAACATAGAAAAGTTGTGGAAGGCATATACCATCTCGATACTGATTACATTGGGTTATCTCAGCACATAGAATAGAAAGAGTTAGAGTAGATTAATGCTTTATTTTAGACCTATGGTACTTTTTACCTATTACAACAAAGAAAAATTCATTTGTGTTATTTCTATGAAATGAAATTAATGATATGCCCACTGCCTCTTCACCACATTCATTTTTTTAAAAAGATCCTAAGGGAAATTAATTTAGTACTACATAGAATATAGATACTTTATAGTTTAAAGGAATATATATTCCTTTTTTGCAATATAGAAAGCCCAAAGTAATATTATTATATCAAAAATACTCCCTTTCCTGGTGGAAAAGGATATACAATACTGCTTCTATTCTACTTCCTATCTACCAGATATATTAGGTGAGAAAAAAGTGTCATACAATTGGGACCACTTCAATAAGCAATTAGATAAAATTAATGGTATATTATGTTGATCTCAGTTCTGAAAAGACCACGCTTTATTTAGCTATCTCAGACATATAAGAAAAAAAATTACTGTTTTTCAAGGATGTTTAAGAGGATGCTTATAAGCCACTCTTAAGAAGTCTTTCTAATGGATAACAACCATAACTAGTAACGGAAGTTCTGTCTTCTAAGATAATTCCCCATTTATATAGTTCAAAAGAACAACTCTATTTTGAGGACAGTGTTTTTTACATAGTAATCTCATTTTATACCCAAATATTATCCCCATTTTCCTATTTCATATTTTCACACATAACGTGGTTGGGTCTCATCTGATGCCACTTCAATTCACTTATAAAATAGAATGATTCTACTGCCCTTTCATACATCATGGAGCTTTGTCTCTTCTCTCCTTCCAAATTATATAGAAGAAGGCTACAAAAATCTTCTGCCCTAGAAGTAAAGTTAGCAATGTTGAATTGATTGGATAAGGGTAATGAACATTCAAATGTCAATATATTGGAGTGAGTCAATAGTGCGAAGTATTTATGACAGTGCTGATTCATTTCATAAGGCTACTCAATCAACTATGAAATGCAAATGTTACTCGAGTCATGAAATGTTCCTCTGAAACTATCTGGACAATCTGTTACAGAATAATTCATGCTACATAGATACTCTTGAGTTTTTAATGTACATAATACTTTCCTGGAATCCAGTTCCAACTCATAACAAAAATAAACTAATAAATAGATAAAAGGCGAAACAGAGAGTAAGGAGACCATAGACTGATGAAGAAATCTCTGAAAACTTCTGGGTAATGTAATGATAAGAGCAGGTTTTTATCTCCCTGCTCCCAAATTCCCATTGAAATGTCCAATATAATATTTTTAAGGGGGAAAGAGGAAAATAATTCTATGGTAGCAACAGAAAGGAAAGATGAATACTGGCCATATGCAGGAAACTTTGGGGGCATTTCTGTTAAAAGTAATACAGATAGGATTATACTGTTGGAAGGCATGGAGTACCCATGTCAAACATCCTCTTCTAGGAAAGCAATGTACCCATAATACAGTAGAGAACATACTAACCAATTAATACCAACACACCTTGAGATTTGGAGGTATTAGGGCTAAAGATAAATCTCAGGCATCATGTCATCAGGAGCACAGCCTCATTTATGTTGACTAAAACGTTTGGACTATATCATATGTTTGCAAGTCCTCATGGGGCAATGACCTGGCACCACTGAATCCAAGAGTGAACCACCAAGCGTTTAGAATAGTACCTAGTGTACAGATGTTCAATAAATATTTTGAAGGAATAAGTGAAGTTTTTTTTTTTGTTTTTTGTTTTTTAAAAAAAACCTCTGGAACCTGGTGTCAGCCTTCCTTTAGCACTGCCTTGAGGAATGAAGAACAAAGATGAGAGATGCTCTCATGCCCTAAGGCCAAGATAAGTTGATGGAATGGAACAGAGGGTAAGATGGAATGGCCAGAAACAGCAATTCAGATTCATTCACTCACTCATATATTCTTTGAGCTTGACTGAAGAGGGAGAATGTAATAAAACAAACCATCCCTGCCTTCTTAAAACTTAGAGCCTTGTAGAAGGAACAGTTGTTAAATAATCACTGAGAAAAACTATAGGATTCTATTAGGAGCCATAATAGGAGGAGCTGATTTCAGTAGTCAGGCAGGATCATGGGAGCAACACTTTGAGGGAGTAACCCTTGAAATAAGACCTGAAAGATGAGGAATCGGTAGCGGGCAAACTGGGAAAGAAAGAACATTTCATGGAGAAAAGGACATATGCAAAGGTCCTGAGGTGGGAAGAAATTTGCTAAGGCCCCAAAACAACAACTGTGAGAGGTGTTAGCAGAAAACGATTCTGAAAGGTAGGCAAAGAACAGACCATACTGAAATTTGTGAGTTTAAGTATTTTTGACTTTTTCCTAAGTAAAATGAGCAACCCACTCTTCCTTAAATAAGAAAATAACATGGTATTATCTATATATTAAGACTAGCTACTAAGAAGAGAATGATTCATAGTGAGAGGTGGCAAGTAGTTACTAACATTTGTAAGCACCTACCTAGGATCCTCAGAAATTATTTGGGAAGCAACTGGATTATCCGTACTTACATTGCATGGGAGCTTGAGTTATTTTATTTCTATGACAAAGGAAAGAGTTGATCTAGACAAGATATATTCTAGTAGGAAATTGTATCAGATTAACAGAAACCATGCCCATTTCTTTTTGGCCATAAAACAAGACAGGGAAAGCACAGATGGCTCTCTGTGGATGACCAAACTGGGGAAAATTACCAGATTTCAGGAAAGATCCTATAGTTTAGACTACATAGCTTCTTTGAAGAATCAAACCTGCCTTCTTTTAAAAATAAATTTGCTGTGATAAGCAGAAAATCCTTCTAGGAAAATTTTGATTCATATAAATGTAAATAACAATTAAAGAGGATATTTTTACTTATGAAACTAAAGGTAGTCTGTATTAATTTACTATTGTTGATTAACAAATTACCACAAACTTAGTGACTTATATGATATAAATTAATTCTCTTACAGTCTGGAGGTCAGAAATCCTAAAATCAAGCTGTCAGCAGGGCTGTGTTCCTTCTTGAGGCTCTAGGGGAGAATTCATTTCTTTGACTTTTCAGGCTTCTAGAGGCCACCTGAATTCCTTGACTTGTGTCCCCATCTTCCATCTTCAAAGCCAATGTTATAACTTCTTCCGGTTTTTCTGCCTTGAACCCTCCTTCTTCCTTCTTAGAAAGCCCCTTGTGATTACATTGTGCCCACCCAGATAATCCAGTGTACTCAGATCTGTAAAGTCCTTTTTGCCACGTAAAGCAACATATTTATAGAGCTTCAAATATTCTTCTTTATGACACTAAATGAGAGAAAGAAAGGAGTGTCAACCACAGAGTTGTAAACAAAATGATGGTGCTTAAAAATTCAAAACACAGTCAAGTTATCCTTATGCATAAAAGCAAACATAGAGATATTTTCAAATACATAAATGTCAGAACACATATGCTATAGACTGAGTGTCTGTGTCCCCCCAAAATTCATATGTTAAATCCTAACACCCAATGTGATGATATGTGATGGTATTTGTGAAGCAGGTTCAGTGTGCACTGGCTACCAACTTATCTGAGTCTTGTGAGACAGAACACCCACACACAACAAATTACGTGAAGCAGATTTGCTACTTACAGATAGGCAGCAAGAGATAGCAGAAGCTAGGATTCATGGTGAGCCAGTTTCCCAAGGCTCAGGAAAGCTGGCTGGGGTGCATAGAATCTCAACTATGCATGTCCCACTTGCACATTAGCAGAGAGACTGCAAAAAGCAGCCAGTCCTGTGTTTCATACTGTGATGTCACATGAGATGCTGAGCTAAAGCACTGAAGGACATTCTATCCTATCCTAAGGGAGACTGGAACAAAGCCTAGGCTGTCCCAGCTAGCACCCCTTTATCTCAAGATTTTGCATTGCCAGCACATTCTACACTTAATTCTTGAGAGGTACAATTGAGAAAGGATGGAGAACTGCGTCAGTCCAAGGCCACCCAGAGAACTGCAGTATTTGCAGGTGGGACCTTTGGAAGATGATCAGATCATAAGGGTGGAGCAGGGTTAGTGCCCCTACAAAAGGGAACACAGAGGGCTCACTTCCCTTTTCTGCCACGGAAGGACACATGCTATTTTATGAACCTGTCAGTGGATCCTCACTAGACAATGAATCTTCCAGTGTCTTGATCTTGGAGTTCTCACCCTCCAGAACTGAATACATTTGAGAAATAAATCTTTTGTTTATAAAGCTACCCAGTCTATGGTATTTTGTTATAGCAGCCTGAGCTGACTAAGACAACATACCGGGACACTTAGATCAACTAAAACCTAGGGAAAAAAACATTAAGTATGAGTAAAAAGTAAGCACATAGCTTCTTTTCTGTCTGTTCATAACCACAACAACTCCTATGGAAGAGATTTTTGTTTCCTGAACCCCTTGAAAGAAAAATTTCTATGTAGAAGTAAGAAATAATTTGGATTTGATTGAGTTTTCTAAGAGTGAGTGAATAGGAAGGAAGACAGAAAGAGAAGACAGATCAACCAGAGAGATGATTTGAAGTTGTGTAGGGTGAAAGGTCATTGTAAGACACTGATTGTGTGATGGACAAAGAATCTGTTAAGAATGATAGTGTCTACTGTTCTACTCAAAGTTGTTTGGATTGTTATAATTTCAATTCCTCTTCTACCTTCCTTCCATTTTTTTCGTTTGTATGAGTGAATGTGTAAATTGAAAAGTCCGTGTTCCACATCTGAGCAGATATGATTCAAATCAGAGATAGCACATGAAAAAGCAGCAATCCAGAGGTAGCTATGAGAACAAAAGCCTCTGAAAGTCCAGAAAATTTTAGGAAGAAGTTTTGAGTCAGTTTTACCTAGATTTTCAGAGAATGGGAAAGATATAAGCTATCATTTGGATTGTAAATTAATTAGGGAAATTACATCTGCTGGACACTGGTGGTGGTAATGATCTGATGTCTACATAATCATTGTAAATATCATTTTAAAGTGTACTTGAATGTTTTCTTTATTTTAACTCTCAACTTCAGTGGTTTATTTTTCTCTGCCCTTACTGAAGCCTATCCTTGAGGGAAAGGAGGAGATTAACAGTCATACTCTTAGTCTTCTTACCACTAAAAAATATATCCCTCCCAAGCTCAGGACATCCTATACTATCCTGAGGGGATAGGGGACACGGGAACAAAGCCTCTCTTCTTCTGATTTTCATAACACCACATTCTCCTAGTGCTCCTTCTGGCCCACTCGCTATTCCTTCTAAGTCTACTTTGCTTAATCTGCTTTTGCTCAGTTGGTACCCACAGTGCAGACACTGGCCAACTTTCACTGAAATGAAAGGTGTGATGAAAGATAGTCACTTACCATTTATTTGTGACATACCACTGCAAACTTAGCAGCATAAAGTAACAAGTATGTTATCATACTCACATATTCTGTGGGTCAGGAGCTTGAAAAGGGCACAGGGAAAATGGCTTAACTCTTTGAGAAGGTGTGCATGCTGGGAGTGACTCACAGCCTAGGAGCTGGAATCATCTAAATGTTTGATCAGTCACATGTTTGGACTCTAAGCCAGACTGATGAGCATAGCTTGGCTTCCTCACAGCATGTCAGCTTCAGAGTGCTGGCACTTCTTACATGGTATCTCAGGGCATAAAGCATGAGTGTTCCAAAGAACACGACAGAAGTTGCATTGCCTCTTCTTACCAGCCTCAGAAGTCATATGCATCACTTTCAACTCCATGCAATTGAAAGTCATATGCATCACTTTCAACCCCATGCTATTACTTGCTTGTAATCACAAGCAACTAACAAGCCCACCCAGACTTAAGAAGAGAGGTAGACCCACCTCTGGGTATTATGAAAAGTACAATCTGCCACACAAGTTTTGACCAATCCAGTGAATTTCAAGCTAGTATATTTGCTTTCCTGCTTGATATTTCTACTGGGGTCTAACAGGCATTTCAAATACAACCTGGCCAAACAAGAAAATATGATATTTTTTTGCCCAAGCCAAAGCTTAGGATGATGGCAAGATTGTGAGAGGAAACGAGGTAGAGTGCATTAAAGACATTTTAGATTATTTAAATGAAAGAGAAGGAATTAAAGTCTATACAGCAAAGTATTAGAGACTTACATGTAAAACCCCAAACTATGAAAACCCTAGAAGAAAATCTAGGCAGTACCATTCAGGACATTTAAAAATGATATTTAAAACAAAGATGAATAAATGAAACACCTAAGACATTTAGATTATTTAAAATGATTATTTAGGTGTGAAATTGCTAAGTGTTTTAAGTTAAACTTATTAGATCTGAGGAAAAAGCAGCAATATGTGTGCATATTAATTGAGCAAAACCTTGGTATCAAGCTGATGAGAGCTAAAGGAGGCCTCAGACAATCTAAAATACAGCAACGGCTTTATAATGGGAGAGGTCTTATAGCCATTGAGGATAAGGACAGGCATCATGCCTGAGACCACCTACCAAAAAACTGACTCTGAGGCTAAACTGAGTTGCTAACGTAGATGAAAAGTAAAGTATTGCTGGTAGCAATTAATTTAAATAACTAGCCTCTGAAGATTCTTTAGACTGGACCAGACAAATTCAAACTCCAGGAAAATATGGCATGCCAATAACTCTAGAGTTCAGTAATATTCAGAAAGGGCAAATGACAATGATAAGTGCTGTGTTAGATGTTTCTTTCAGATGGAAATGTGCCTTCTTCATCTAGATACTCAAGGTAATGTAGGATGAGTCAAAGATAAATGTAGACCAGAAGCTCATTAGACCCCAGAGCTGGCAAAGACATTCTGATATAAAAACAGAATAAACCCCCCAAATCATACCAACCTCAATATGACAGGGGAGGGAGTCTATGTCTGCCTCAATGTAGCAATTGGAATAATTTAATCTGGTCATAAGAGATGATTGTGGCTAAGAAAAGAAGACAGAGAGATCTCACAAGTTATGCTAGTCATACTGCTATCTTCCGGTCAAGAGTTTGGTCAATATAGGAGTACTTTTAACTTTTTCTTTAAATGTTAGTGAAAGTTTCTTTTGTAAAAGTCAAACCTTGTTTCTACCTGAGTTGACACAAAGCAAGATGGTACCATCTAAGCAGTGTTAGGAGGAAAATCAGAGCCCTTTAAGAATTTAAGTCCAGTGGTAGACATGAGGACACTGGTTTAAGACAGAAAAGAATGGTGGAAGTAGGCCAAATAGGAAAAAGATGGTGAAGGTAGAAGAAAATTGGAGATGCAAATTATGTTGATCCTTCATGCCTGGAGATTTATCTATTATTTTTTCCTCTCTATTTCATTCATAATACAAATAGAAAATAGCTAATCAGTTTTCATAGAACTCTTTAGGCTTTTCAAGAAATTTATCAAATAGACACCTCACCTGGCTTTTTAGGAATTATTGAATAACTGAACTGCAGTTAGACCTCTCATCTTCCAGAATGTCTAAAGGTATTTTTCTAGAGAGATCAAATTGTTAAGTGTTTTAATATAACTGTCAGAAGTTTTAAGAATCTAGGAATTATTCTATTGGCTTATTCTTCCTAAGAAACCACTTCTCTTCTAAATATATATATATATATATATATATATATATATATATATATTTATTTATTTATTTATTTATTATACTTTAAGTTCTAGGGTACATGTGCACAATGTGCAGGTTTGTTACATATGTATACATGTGCCATGTTGGTGTGCTGCACCCATTAACTCATTATTTACATTAGGTATATCTCGTAATGCTATCCCTCCCCACTCCCCCAACCCCACAACAGGCCCCGGTGTGTGATGTACCCCTTCCTGTGTCCAAGTGTTCTCATTGTTCAGTTCCCACCTATGAGTGAGAACATGCAGTGTTTGGTTTTTTGTCCTTGCGATAGTTTGCTGAGAATGGTGGTTTCCAGCTTCATCCATGTCCCTACAAAGAACATGAACTCATCATTTTTTATGGCTGCATAGTATTACAGTGTGGTGATTCCTCAGGAATCTAGAACTAGAAATACCATTTGACCCAGCCATCCCATTACTGGGTATATACCCAAAGGAATATAAATCATGGTGCTATAAAGACACATGCACACATATGTTTATTGCAGCACTACTCACAATAGCAAAGACTTGGAACCAACCCAAATGTCCAACAATGATAGACTGGATTAAGAAAATGGCCACTTCTCTTCTTTATATTCCTGACCCTTGATGTAGAGCTGTAGTAAATAGAAACTATAGATAAGACCAGGAAATTATGTTACCTCTTGTCACTCTTAAGTGTCACCTCTTTCTGGGAGCCCTGGAGTACAAACCATTAAATCAGGATCAATACAAGTCCCAAGATAAAAACAGTTTTCCTTGCGCTCTATCCTAAAAATAGCTGGCGAGTCCAGGTGCAGTATTCAGACATTTTCCATCTAGATTAAAGACCTAGATTAAGGGATTGTTTGAGTCTATTTTATAACAGATTGTCACTGTCTTTCTTACTAGGCACTTCTTCACTTGAAAGCCTAGGCTGTGGTCTTTCTCCTTCACCAGACAGTTAAACACTGTAGTGTTGGTCACATTTTTCTAAAACTATGTTGTTTATCCACATTCAATTCCTCTTCTTAAGATCTCTCTTTAAAAATTTTGGCTATATTCATGGAAATTTAAATTTCTGTTTGGGATGGACTTTGTTCCCCCTTTATTACTGTCACCATTCCTATTATTCTCTTTGGCCTCCCATGCTGGACACTTATACTTCTATAAATCTTATAGATGGAGCTGGTATTATTTTTCTAGTTTGAAACACTTGTAATAAAGTTATGTCATTATTTCTATCTTTATAGGGGCCAATAGTTACATACGTTGACTCAGAAGTACAAAAAAGTAATTTTAATTTATATAGTTGACTAACTTTATAATTGACTTTTTAAACTCTGCAGTCCCCCTTTCCACCAATCCACCAAGCCCTTTCCAACCCTTTTCACCACTGCCCTCCATTACTACTGCTAACATGAGAACCAACAAAATCATATATTTGTTAAGTAGGGAAAATCCTGCTTTCTGCTGTTTAAAAGGCTCCTATAGGTATATATTCATTCAATTTAGAGGTTATACTATCAATCAGGGCTGTTTTTCTACTCCATAGAAGTCTTCTTACCACTATCCACCCCTGATCCTTTTCCCTGGATATAATTTGAATACCTGTGGAAACTTGCATATGACCATAGGGTTGGATGGCAAGGCATTTAGTCCCTGGATTCTCACTGGACTCCAGTGAGATTTTTTCTCATTTTGCTGAGTCACTGGGTAATCTGGATTGATGCCTTTAATTTTGGAGTACTATGGGATGGAACACTAGATTATTAGGAAGGGAGATGGTTAAACAGAGAAGGGCACCCTTAGTTTGAACAAAACACTACTACTACTCAACTTATTATTACTTTATTTAAATAAAAGTTTAAAATTACTCTTTAGTTAGCCATGGCTTGGCTAAAAACTGTTAAAGTTGGCTGGGCATGGTGGCTCAAGCCTGTAATCCCAGCACTTTGGGAGGTCAATCACGTGAGCCCAGGAGTTTAACACTAGCCTAGGCAACAAAGTGAGATCCCATCTCTACAAACAAACAAAAAAAAAAAAGAAAAGAAAAAAAGCTGTGTGTGCATACCTGTGCTCCTAGCTACTTAGAAGGCTGAGGTGAAAGGATTGCTTGAGCCAAGGAGGTTGAGGCTTCAGTGAGCTGTGACCATGTCACTGGACTCCAGCTTGGGTGACAGAATGAGACCCTGTCTCAAAAAAACAAAAACGAATAAACAAAAAAACTGCTAAAGTTTATAGATTCATATTCCTTCAGCAGTAAACAAAGAAAGATTTCCCTTTCGATGCCAGCCTATGAGAAAAATAAGGTTATTAAATGGTACTTTATTCCATTAAGGTCAATACATTCTAAAAATAAAACAGAACCATACTCTTTTAAAATGCTACACGTGCCAATACTGACACGCTTCATCTAAGAATTCCACATTATTTGGGAACCTGCTTATTTTTCATAATTGCATATTCATAGAAAGAGTAATTGTGTATATGTAGTTGTCAGGAGTCATATTAACTTTTCTTAGTTAAACATATAGGATGTTCTCATGCTATAGAAATTATTTACATAAACTAGATACTGCATTGTCTCCCTCTCTCATTCCCTCACTTTCTCTTTCTCACACATGTGCACATGTGTGTGTGCGCGCGCACACACACACAATTAGTCTCACTGGCAACACTTGTTCTTAGGTAACAGACATTCCAATAAGCTCAGCAATTCAAAGATTTTCTATTATTCTCTTAGAAGGGACAATGTGCTAGGCAATTTTCACTTTGTACATCTCCATTATGCAATGGAACAAGTGAGACAGAGTACAATGTGAGACAGAGTACATTGAAAGAGGGAAGACTTGGAATAGTTGAAGTATTAAAATCCCCCAGTAGAGTCACATTTCATTTCATTAACACATAGTTTTATAGAACATTATTTAATGCATAAGGAGTAGTCATCTGTACTGAAATCACAGAGACCATTATATATTGATGAATAGCTTTGTACACCTTATAAATTAGATGAAAAGAAACTAGGAGTATGGGAGCAAAAGTTAGATAAAGGAAGCACTACTGAGAAAGGCTAAACAGGAGTCGGTAATCTGCAAAGGTCAAGCAAAAGGTTTTGAGTGTCCTTAGCAGAAGCTTACCTTTTCTATAAAGGCCACCCACCTGGCATCTTTTCTCTGGTAAACTGAACCAACCTTGATATACACCAAGAGAAAGCATTCCAAAACAGAAGGGCATCCTTAAGCCATCTTGGGGATTCATTCCATTTCTGAAAAATAAGTTCAGGCCACATTTCTTGGTTCTCTGTCAGAACTAAGTCAGACAATAAGATAATTTGTGGCTTATGAATGAGCAAAATTTATAAAATAACCTTGAGCAACAAACATAAGGTAGATAAAAGACATTTAACTTAAAATGATTAAAATATAGCAGACATTTTGATTAAAATGAAAACTAGCCTATGATTCTCTTCCTTTGTCTGGCTGTTTACTTAGGGATTTCTCCAAAATTGGCCTTTGAATTCTTCTTAAGAAGCCAAAAAGAAGAAGGAAACGACTTTCTCAGTCATAGCAATAGTAATGGCTTACCACATAATGAGCTATCAGTATATGGCAGGCCCAGTTCTAATTGCTTTATAGATATTAACTAATAGTTAAAAAAAAAAAAAATATGAGCAATGCCTTTTCTTGTGCCTATTTTACAGTGAATCAGCCTGAGGATCTGAGCAGTTTAGTTATCTGCCTAAGGTCACATATCTTGGAATAAGCAGAGACAGGATTTGAACCTAGGAAGTTTAACTATAGAATCTGTGCTATTAGCCACTCTACTAAACTGCATATGGTGTTCAGTGCAACATGGGATTAAGGACAAGGATGGCTCAACTAAAGAATGACCATATGAAGCGTACTTTGCCCACAAGAGAAGCCTTATCACATAGCCATTCTCTCTTTATTCTACAAATTAACCCCCATGTGTAAAAGCAATATCTGTCATCCATATTTACATTTGGTTTCTGGTAAAGGTTTTTTCCTTTATATTTGAATTTCTTTTGATAATGTTTAGCCCCCAAAATGATGGATTCTTCTCATAAAATTGCTCTCACACTAACCAATTAAATTTAGCATCTTCAGCATGCATTATTACTTAAATATGATGTGACATCTTAAGAGCTTAGTATTGTAGGAGTCGATTCTTTATGATAGCATCAAAACTTTGAAATAAAATGTCTTAAGAGGTTTTGGCCCTTACATGGGAGGTAACAGATTTGCTCTAAATGGATCTGTGGATAGGCTGGCTAGAAATAAAGTTGGATAGGCCCAATTTTAGGACAAACAATTCCAAAATAAAATATCAGGAAGGCCACAATTCTCTTTTCCACCAAAAATAAACAGTATTGTTAAAGCCAGTGGGAGTTTCTTCTCAATGAACTGCTGTTAACTATTACAAATTAACTGAATTTAGAGTTCCACTACTAATTGAGGTTTTACTCACTTAAGTAGTTTAATTATTTTAATGTAATAGCACCCCCCCAAAAAAACTTCTATTAATTCCTTATTTATTTATTTTCTAATCCTGTCATATCTACCTCTAAATTGGAAATATTTGCCACTGAACCCTCAACCTATTTACAAGTGTAAATTGTGGTTGTGAAACCTAAGGCCGATTCACAGAAACTATAATTTCAGCCTAAATACATGTTTATTTCAGGACTGCTCTCCTCTCTCCTCATCTTTGTACTTTTCCTGGGAGTCAAAAATATTTTTTGTACTTTTAGTAGAGACAGGATTTGGTGGCCGGCGCCTGTAGTCCCAGCTACTTGGGAGGGAGGCTGAGACAGGAGAATGACGTGAACCCGGGAGGCGGAGCTGGCAGTGAGCCATGAGCTGAGACAGCGTCACTGCACTCCAGCCTGGGCTACAGAGTGAGACTCCGTCTCAAAAAAAAAAAAAAAAAATTCTTACCAACTAGTTATTGTTCATCATTAATACTCAATTGTGTGATTACAAACTTCTTTCCTTTTTTTAGTAAATCTCTATATTTAGATAGTTTGGTAGTGAGCATGACCACTCCTCTCCAAAGCTTCTATATTGATTCTTTAATGATGTTCAGGTGCTGTTTCCAGCTGACCCATCTTAGCAGCTCTGATTATACTAATTTTTTCATACATATCTTAAAGGCCTAGAAACAGAAATCTTTGATTTCTAATGTGTATCTTTGACTGCTATCTAAAGACGAAGACAGAAACATCAAAGGAAATGGTAAGCTTTGGGGATTTCCTTGATTTCACTTTCAAATTGATGATCATTTTAATTGCAGACATTTTATTTTAATTTGTTAGCAATTTTTAGGCAGAGGGTAGGCTTTCAAAAAATACATTTACTATTTTTTTCCTTCAAAGATAACCTTTCAGATTTGAAGGCAGAGATTTGTACAGATATATATATACATATATACGGATGTTCATAGCAACATTACTCACAAAAGCCAAGAAGCAACCAAAGGGTCCATTGACAATTGAATGGAGAAACAAAATGTAGTGTGTATGTATATAGAAATTTTGTTATATGCACACATACAAACACACACATATACACACAATGGAATATCACTCAGTCTTGGAAGAAAATTCTGATACGTACTACAACAGGGATGAACATTGAAGACATGCTAAGTGACATAAGCCAGTCACAAAAGGACAGATACGGTATGATTCAACTTATTTGACGTGCCTAAAGTAGTCAAATTCATACACACAGAAAGGAGGTTGGTAGTTGCCAGAGTATGTGAGGAAGGGATATGTGGAGTTATTCTTTAATGGCTACAGAGTTTCAGTCTGGGAAGATGAAAAAGGTCTCGAGATGGTTGGTGGTGATGTTGCAGAACAATGTGAATGTGCATAATGCCACAAAACTATACTCTTTTGAAATGGTTAAAATGCTAACTTTTATGTTATGTATATTTTACCATAGTAAAACAACCTCTGTAATTATTTAAAAATATCTCTTGATATCTATCCTACCTTCCAGTACGTAAACTTCCTCATATTTTTTTCTTTTTTGAGTCAGGGTCTTGCTCTGTTGCCCAGGCAGAAGTGCAGTGGTGTGATCTTGGCTCACTGCAACCTCTGCCTCCTGGGTTCAAGCAATCCCTCAGTCTCAGCCTCCTGAGTAGCTGGGACTACAGGCAAGGGCCACCATGCTTAGCTAATTTTTGTATTTTTATAGAGATGAAGTTTAGCCATGTTGCCTGGGCTGGTCTCAAACTCCTCTGCTCAAGTGATCTGCCCACCTCGGCCTCCCAAAGTGCTGGGGTTGCAGGCGTGAGCCATCGTGGGCAGCACAGTATATGAATTTCTTACCTCTCATATTCGTTTTGTGACACCATCACAGAATTTCTCAATGACAACATACTCTTTTCCTACATTTGCTCTTTTCCTACTCCCCTCAACTTTTACAAAATCTGCCTTGTTGCTTAAAACACTATACAAAATTTACATTAGAAACATAATGTCTACGTAGCATCAGCACTGTGGCATTCACATTTTCCCACTGTGAACTCTAGGCAATGTATCCATGACTGTCAAGCATTATAGCATTCCATGCTCACTCAATTCACAGGCTGTTCCTGGCGGTTTCACAGAACTTTTCAAGTAATTACTTTCTTTAGTATCAAGGGACTTATAACAACCAAAGAGCATGTTGCTCATCTCAGTCATTGTCTGGGTGCAGTGACACCCATTCTAAAGGCACTGACACTATTTTGTGAGCCTGACCTCATGATTGAGATCACATAATTGCAATAATTAGGAAACTCACCTCAGGATATTATCAAAATGACCCACCCAAACCCAAGTCCATATGGTTTGAAATAGCTAATGAGTCAGTTAATGTGCTATGTCCAGGAGTAATGGGTACTCAATATGGATAGCATGAAGGTATAATTTACCAACGTTCTGACTGATTAAGGGTTTCAAGTGGACATTTTACAACCTAAACAGGGTATGAAGTATTAACACTTTTGATGGTTGAGACAAAAGGAAGAAACAGTGTTTAAAAGTCAGGGACATTGGAACTTGAACAATTTCTTTCAATCATATTTTCCAGGCTTACAAAGTTAATACTATATAAAATGGAATGAAGATGTAGGTTTCGGTAGCCAATTGTGATAATGTGGAAAGGTATGGGGGATGCTACTGGCTGAGTCCTTTGCATAACAGAAAAATAAAGAAAATGCTGAAAATTCAATCCACTGATTTGGGGGTGGGGTGGGGAAAAGAGGGAAAGTTCTATTACAAAGAAAAGATAGAATTAATATTAACAGATGTCTATATGGAAGGGATTCACTGAGTGATTAGATATATTTTTATTTCATGGTAGTATAAACCCAGATAAACGGTCATAGTATTTTTGGCTAATTTGTTGTCTGCAGTATCTTGGAGACAATAAATATTTAGTCCAAGCATACGTATAAATTGGGATTAAGAAAAATTCTAAAGTAATGTTTTAATACTAATTTGAAACCTCTATGATAAAGGTCTGTATTACATTTTTTATTTTGGATATGAAGGGATGTAAGCCCAGTGCATTCTTATACAGAGTGCTTAATTTGGAGTCCATACACACTCAGTGGGTCCCTGGTTAGATGTTAGGAACAATCTGTGAGCTTGGAAAGGAGGGAAAAAAAAATCACATTTTAATTTTTCACTCATTTGTACTGGAATTTAGCATTTCCTGTAATTATATAGCAAATCATTAGGATTAGCATTATGTGTGATTTTTTCCCACAAAAAGTAGTTGAAGATGTTTTCATATCACAATAGAGCTGTTTAGCTCTTCCAAAATATCATTCATATTCATCAGTATTACAAAAGTCTGGCTGATATTAGACCTACTGCCAGGTCTAATATTTAAAAACCAATTTTAACATACTTTGTTTCTTTTATAATTGTATATTTTTAGTTTTATCCATTTTTAAAACATCAAAAACTTATAGAGAATGGGTCCAAACACTCTCCTAGACTATCAAAGGGGTCTATGGCACAATAAAGGTTAAGAACATGTGCTATACTATGCAGTGGATTTATCAAGGTCCAAATGTTTTATACTGGACCAATGGCTTTTAGTTCCAGGTATCAGAATTAACTTGGAGATTTTACTTTATTATTTTAGAAAAAGATAATATGTGCACTTTAAAAAATGTTCAGTTGTACAAAAAGTTATACAATGGAAAGTGTCTCATGCCAGCTCTGTTTCCCAGAAGCATCCACAATTTCTTATGAGCCTGTCTGGAGACATTCATATTTAAGCATATAATACATGCAAATGTTTATGTACATACACTTACATAGAACATGTATTTTTCTGCTTTTAACACAAATAGTAGCATACTTGGCACAATAACCTTCATTTGGCACTTAACAGTATATCTTAGCAGGGCATGGTGCTTTGCACCTGTAATCCCAGTGACTTGGGAGGCTGAGGCAGGAAGACTGCTTGAGGCCAGGAGTTCAAGACCAGCCTTCAAAACATATTGAGACTCTGTCTCTAAAAATATTAAAAAATTAGCCAGACATGGTGGTACACACCTGTAGTCAGAGTTAGGTAGGAGGCTGAGGTGGGAGGATTGCTTGAGGCCAAGAGGCTGCAGTGAGCTGTTATCACACCACTGCCCTCCAGGCCGGGACAACAGAGCAAGACTCTGTCTCTAAAAACAAAACAGTTTATCTTGGCAATTGTTTTATATCATAGAAATAAACTATCCTTTTGTTTTCAGTGGGTAGGTAGTACTTGATTATATGGAAGCATCATACTTTAGTTGACCAGATCTGTTAATTGTCACTTAATTAGCATTCTGTGTTTTACTATTTCAAGCAATGTCCCTAAGTAATATTTTAACATTTTCTCCATGTAGACCTTCTACATGTTTTAATATGTTTATTCGTAGTTATGTCACGTTGTTTTAGATTTATTTTTATTTTTAATGCTCCTTTTAAATCCATTCCTAAAGTGCTTTTTTTGTTTCATATGTGTATTTGTATTCGCCTTCTAAAAAGTTTGAATTGTTTGAAAAGTTGAAAGTTTATAGTTTTCTAGTTCATCCAGTTGTTCTACTTTAATTTTGTGTAATCTAATCAATACTCCATTTCTTGAAGCAGTATTTATTTACTCTTTACTCTGAGCAATAGGAAACTAGTACTGTCTGAGAAGTAGTTAGATGCTCTGGTCATCTACAGAAATTCAGCTTGGTGAATAATATCACACAGGTTATTTTGATGTGCTGCAAACATTAAAAAGCACTTGTTTAAAGGGAGAGTTTACACCAGAACTAAGAAGCCAGGAAGTCTGAATAATTCTAAAATAACTGGAATGCTAGTTATTTTTCTGTAGCATTTGAAAATCAAAGATGGATCAAGTTACATACTTACTATCATTTAGGTCAAAGCTTTCTATTCTCATCATACACTGCAGTTACCTAGACAATTGTCTCACTTGTCTATATCTCATTTGCTATAAAAAGCTAGTATCAATATGAGTCATGGCTAAATGCTAAAGTTAATATTGCATAATGTTTACATGTATGGGACCACTGCTGAATTTCCTAAAAAAAAGCGGATATACTTATTAATTAGTCTTAAAGCAGGCACTACCCTGACACTTAAAGTATTAATAGTTACTTGTATTCTTAGTGTTGCCAACTTTGTGATAGCAACGTAAAAATTTCTCCTTATTGTTCTAATGTTTAACGTGGTCACATTATTCAGCAGTTAATTCCACAAATATTTTTTGAGAATTGGATGTTATGCTTGGCATTGTAGTTACAAATTTGAGGAAGACCTAGTCCTTGCTTGCTATGAGTTCAATTTATTTATCTCCTAAGAAAAGCATTTAAAAATGCATCTAAAATATTGTATAAAAAGTTCTGTAATATTGATAAGCATATTCAGGGAATACAAGCTAAGCTTTGTGGTACAGGGAAATTTATCAGAGAAGGGGACACATAACTAATGTATATGCAGAGGTTATGTGGATGCAGTGAGGGTGTAAACCGGGAAGTGCTGAGGTCCTGGGGCAGGAGAAGCATTTCAGGCAGATGGAACAAACCTGCAGAATAGAGAGAACCTGTCATTATACCCTTATAATTGGAAGTGGTCAGGTGTGCCTAGCCCACAGAGAAGAGAATTACAAGAAAAAAAATCAGAGTTTTGTTCTTAGCCATACTGTATCGCTACTATAAAGGTAAATAAACAACACCAAAGTTTAGATGTAATTTCTCCACAGTGGTCACTATTTTTATCCAGAGGAATTAGAGGAGTCAGATGTATTCTTAGCTAGCCTGGAGGGGATATCAGATATAGAAGTATTATAACTTAAAGAAGGTATAATTCAATATTACAACATTACATTTATAAATTTTAAAACTACTTTTGAAATATAAATTTGAGGAACATAAGAATCTAAAATTCTCTGCTACAAATGGAATTTTAGTTTTAAAATATGGGCAAACACTCACATACATGATTCACAAAATTGAAACTTTTAGAATTAACAAGGTACGATGAACCAAATTTAAAAATTGCTCTCATTTCAGAACTGGACCAAATTTAATAGTTCTAAAACTTCTGGTTTTTAAAATATATTTTCAGCCAGGCATGGTGGCTAATGCCTGTAATCTCAGCATTTTGAGAGGCCGAGGCAGGTGGATCACCTGAGGTCAAGAGTTCGAGACCAGCTTGGCCAACGTGGTGAAACCCTGTCTCTACTAAAAATACAAAAATTAGCCAGGATTGGTGGCGTGCACCTGTAATCCCAGCTACAAGGCAGGGCTGAGGCAGGAGAATCGCTTTTACCTTGGGAGGCAGAGGCTGCAGTAAGCTGAGATCGTGCCACTGTACTCCAGCCTGCGTGGCAGAGCAAGACTCTGTATCAAAAAATAAAGAAAGAAAATAAAATATATTTTCTAATATTCAAGTGAGATTTCTTCTACATATTTGTTGTCTCTATTATGATGCAGTATGTACTACGAATATTTTCACGTAATTATCAAGTATCAGCTTAAGAAAATTCATGTGATCTGGTTTGTTTGCTTAACAGAGATTTAACAACAAATCTAAGAGACTAGCTTTACTATCATTAATAAGAAATAAGGTAACTGACTTCCCTTTCAAAGAGATTTATTCCATATTTAATCACATACTTCAAATCTGGGTTCATTATATACTAATGTCAGTGCTTTGGGAAAGCAAAGATCTCCCATAAAAAAGAAAAATAGGAGCTTTCCACTTTAGGATAGTAATGTGAGCACATATATTTAACGCTCTTTCCCTAAGTGCCAAGGAATTGATCAGAGAAATGCAAATAGTGGGAAAAGTGAAAAAGAAATCATTAGCAGTGTTGGATAACAGGAAAGAAGGCCATGAAGAGGCCCCAGCGGAGAAAATTGCCCCTACAAAATCTGCGCGGATGGGATCAAATTGGGGACCATAATAACTAGTCTCTGATTAGGCAGTTATGATGGAGGAAGTTTGCCTGTGGAATAAGAGAGCAGAATTTGAGCCTCCTCTCCAAAATTTAATATTTGAACAGAGCTGGGAATTGAGCTCCCTGGAGTAGTCAGTGGAGAGCAAATAAAATGACTTTTACTGGTGCAATAGTATTCACTAATAGGACAACTGGCTGAGGTGGGCAACATCACAACAGGTTACCAAGGAGATTAGTCACGTCAGGTGGAAAGGTAGGGACAGGTGCTCAGCTTACTTTGGGCTATTCAACAACTGTGTCAAAAGACACCTCTTACCAAAGTGGAGGGTTTTCTATCCTGTGACTGCTCCCCAGAAATTCTCGTAGTGCTCACTGCAGCCACTTGGGACTCCCAGATTTAATAAAATAAAGGTACAAAAAAAGTAAACTTTTTTTTCCCCTTTTGACAAGAGTTAAAAGTTAGAAAAGGAAACCCCTATAATTTCTTGTTGTTCTCATGTCAACTCCCCTAAACAAAATGTCAGACTCCGTAAAGTTGAGCAAACAGAAAATTCGCCAGTCAAATGAAAGTATTTGGTAGTTTCAGGTATGAAAACTATTGTGAGGAGGTAAAGCAAATGTCTTTTGAGGATAAATAAAAACAGATTTATTCCAAGAAACAGTAGCAAATTTTCAGAAATCTCTACTTCATATTCTCCACGAGAGTCTAGAAAACACGTTGTCTATAAAAATGCAACAATTTAGAAATTTTTAAAAGATTGCATTTAGATGCAAAACACTGTTCTAAAACTAAAACATGGCCAGGTGGTGGCTCACGGCTGTAATCCCAGCACTTTTGGAGGCTGAGGCGGGCAGATCACCTGAGGTCAAGAGTTTTGAGACCAGCCTGGCCAACATGGTGAATCCCCATCTCTACTAATTAAAAAAATACAAAACTTAGCCGGGTATGGTGGTGTGCACCTGTAATCCCAGCTACTCGGGAGGCTGAGGCAGGAGAATCCTTGAAGCTGAGACCTGGGAGGCGGAGGTTGCAGTGAGCCAAGATTGCGCCACTGCATTCCCGCCTGGGAGACAGAGCAAGACTCCATTTCAAAAAAATAATTAATTAAATTAAAACATACAATGGAGAATCTGCAAATTAGACATTCTGCAAGAGTGTATAATTAAAACACTATCAATAATAATTAATAGTTTTTGAACACTTATGTGCTAGGCAAGTTTTACTCCTTTACATACAATAACAAATTTTATCCTTATAACAAAACTGTAAGATGGATATTATTATGCTCTCTATTTTATAGATTAGAAAACTGAGGCACAGAAAATTTAAGCAACTTGCCCAAGATAAAAGATTTGTAAGTGGTAGATCCAGGCAGTGTAACTCAAGAGTCCACAGAATTAATTCTAGAACAAGAAAAAGGAGGAGATAGAGAACCAATCATCAAAGAAAACATTTGAAGAAATTTACCTGAGTGAATAAATGTCTTCACTTGATTACAAAAAAAAAAGCTAGCTATAAGAAAAAAACAAAATCAAATTTGCCTCAGAATTGATCTGTATAAAAATCAAATGTCTGAAGACAGAGATCAAGAACTTCATATGTAATAATTTCCAATATTCTATACCTAGCTAAGCTAACATTTACATTTGAGGGCAACATGTTTTCCCATGCTGTGCAATGGCTCACAAAACATACCATCTCCATATTTTTTCTCAAAATTTTAGCCAAAAAAAAATTCTTGTCAAATGAAAGTGGATTTTAATAAAATAACTGAAACATTGAAGTGAGCAATAAAAACACTTAAATAAATTTTATTTTTTATACACATAAATATGTATGATAACAATTTAAATACTTAGTGCAAAGGTCAAAAAGAGTTCTTGAAAGGGAAGATTATGACATTTCTTGCTTATTGAGTGATTGCCTAAGTGCCAGATGCTTTTCATGCATCATTTAATTTAATATAAAATAATAATGAGATAGGTATTGAATTCTCAACCGATTTTCCATGTAAGGTCAATAGAATCAGAAAGTCTGCATAATTTGTCCATGGTCCCACAGCCAGGAAATAGTAAGGCCAGGATTCATAGCCAAGCATGCTTGACTCCAGAACAAACATTATACTGCATCATATTAACAATGTTAATTAATAATTAGTTGAATTTAAAAAGCGGAATAATTTAACAAACACACAAACAAGTGAAGAAGGAAATGAACAAACCTAAGATGAAAAATGATGGCAAAAGCTAAATGCTTGTTAAATCTCTGATGTAGCCACACAAGAGGACTTAATAGGTGTTCTTGATTTGGCAGAGAAATATAAGCTAAATATTCCTAAAATTTGAATATAGCCACTACCAGGATAAAAAAAATGATTGTATAACTTCTGTATTAGTGCTCTATTGTGCCTGTAACAAATTACCAATTATAGCTTAAAATTGCACAAATGTATTATCTTAAAATTCTCAGGGTCAGAAATCTGAAGTGGATTTTACTGAGGGAAAATCAAGGTGTTAGCAGAACCTAAAAAAAAGAAGCAGAGTTTCCACTTGGGTTCTGTTCCTTCTTGATACCTTCCTGGTTCTGGGTCTTTAGGTGGCTACTGCAGATCTACACCTACACAATAATACTCTTTTACCTCAACTACCTTTAATGTGTCTCTTTTTTATAAAACTAACAAAAGTTCTAAAATGTGGTATCATTCAATTTAATGTCAGTTTCCCATACTAGGCTATAAATTTTTCAAAGGCGAGAATCATGCCGTATTCATCTTTGAATTCCCAGGACCAAACATAGTGTCTTGCATATCTAAGTACCCAAAGCATATTTGTGAACTGAAATGCAATGCTGCATAGTGTGCAAGCAGTATAGGAGTGAAATGGGTCTTTTGGATTATTCAACAGAAGTGGTAACCTGAGTTGTTGAAGCAGAATGCAAGGGTAAAGGCTATACCTGGTTTTAACTGGTAAGAATTATGAAATTTTCCCTTGCACTGAAGCTAATTGATCACTGGTTTTACGAAACTGTTTTTATTTAATATCTTTTCCCCATATCTTGAAAGATTGTAATCAGTGAATCTGCTCTCATAATAAGAAATTAGCCAGATATTTAAATGTAGCAGAAAGGACATTGTATTAAGTGGAGTTATCTTTGACCATACAGTATTGATAATTTACATTACTCTTGACCAATGCACAATATGCAGATTTGGTAATTTATCTCCTTAGGAATATAGCACGGCAGACTACCTAGAGCAGATTACAATATAATATATTCCCGAGTTGGTGCACCAATTTTTAATACATGTATCAATTTTAAAACTGATAAAAATGAATCAATTAGCAAAGAATTGTCTCTGCTAAAAATAGCTGTTGTTAAATCCCTGCTGTGAGAAAGTGGAAACATTGTGATATCATTATTATTTAGGTGATATTTCTATTATCTCCTGAAAGTATTATGAAAGTATTACCCTATAGCATAAGCAAATTTGAGTAAATTAACAAAATTTTGCAGTCCAATATGAAATTATTATGAATATTTTAATCAGTTTGTAGTGAGCAAGGTACTGTATCTTTTTTTTTTTTTTTTTTTTTTTTGAGACGGAGTCTCGTTCTGTCGCCCAGGAGGGAGTGCTGTGGCGCGATCTCCGCTCACTGCAAGCTCCGCCTTCCGGGTTCACGCCATTCTCCTGCCTCAGCCTCCCGAGTAGCTGGGACTACAGGCGCCCGCCACTGCGCCCGGCTAATTTTTTGTATTTTTAGTAGAGACGGGGTTTCACCGTGGTCTCGATCTCCTGACCTCGTGATCCGCCCGCCTCGGCCTCCCAAAGTGCTGGGACTACAGGCGTGAGCCACCGCGCCCGGCCCTGTATCTTTTTTAAGGCAAGAATCATATCTGTTTTTTAAAAACTTTTTAGCAATTTATTATTACTTATTTATAAAAATATAGAAAAGGAATTACAGATTCAAACATTTCAGATAACCAAAAAATTAAGTTCTTTACAAAGTTACCACTGATAGAGCATTTTGACTTATTTCTAGCGTATTAGCAGTCAGAATGTGTAAACATATTATACAAAGCTGGATATTCTGCATTGCTGCCTCATTATGCATTTTGATGACATTAGTAGATGTGTAAATAACAGACACAAATAAATTTGAATGGAAGTTACATAAATGCCTTCTGCAAATGCATACAAGTTATGTACTGGTAATAATCAAATTTTGGTTATGATATTTAAAGATCTTTTTACGCTATACCTATTTTCATGTTTCATCATGAAAATATATTGGCATTTAAAGAAGAAACTTCAATAGATTTTTGTTTTTTGCTGCTTGATTTTTTTATTCACCTAAAACTGGAATTAAATTTTTTTATAAAAACATAGAAAGTAGAATATATCTAAAATTTAAACGTTGCTCTTTTTTGAAAGGTAATTCTTCTTTACAAGCCTCCTTCTTCCAAGTTACAATTTGTAAAACTTTGAATTTTCAGATATTGACATGTCAAGCTTTCAACACTCTAAAATACACTGAAAGTTTTACGTTTTATATTTTTCATTGAAAAACCTGGCTGCATAATGGTAACTAAAATATTTAGTGTTATTAAGATATAATACGTAAAATGTCTTGGAGTAAATATGATTTTTCCACTGTGTTATAATGAAAAATAGATTTGGTCTTTGTCCTTTTTATACCTGGCACAGAGTGTCTAAATTCTTTGGAATTTCTTAAGTGTCTGGTGTGTATTTTGTTATTTATAATGAGCCCCCTTAACATACCTGAGTTTATGCTAACGAGTGTAGTCCAGGTAGGCCCTTACATGGTTTCAAGGGAAGAATAAGCCACAGAAGTAATTTGAGGGCTTGAACTTTCAGCCCTATCCCCCCAAACTCTGGAGAGGGGAAGAGGGCTGAAGATTGAGTTCAATTGCCAATGACAGTGATTTAATTAAGCATGCCTGATAAATAAAGCCTTAAAAAAAACCTCTTGAACAATAATGTTAGAGGAGCTTCTGGTTGCTCCAAAACATTGAAGTGCTGAAAGGGTGGTGCTCATGTTACAGGAAAGGGGTCCCAATCCAGACCCCAAGAGAGGGTTCTTGGATCTCATGCAAGAAAGAATTCAGGGCGAGTCCATAGAATAAAGTGAAAGCAAGTTTATTAGGAAAGTAAAGGAATAAAAGAATGGCTACTCCATAGACATAGCAGCCCTGAGGGCTGCTGGTTGCCCATTTTTGTGGTTATTTCTTGATGATATGCTAAACAAAGGTGGATTATTCATGCCTCCCCTTTTTAGACCATATAGGGTGACTTCCTGATTACTGTAAATTTTGCTCCTGAAAAACTGTAAATTTCAGAGCTACTCTTTTGTTTGCCTTTTCTCAGAATAACCAGCTCAAAACATGCCAAAGAAATATATTTTGGAGTAACAGTGTCTGGTGTTCTACAGTCATATTTTGGGGCAGTGTGTCTTGAGCCCTAATGTGAGATTTAGCCCTTATATCTGGGGAATCTGATGCTATCCTAGAGTTAGTGTCATAAGAGGATTGAATTATAAGCCACCCAGTTGATATTAGAAAATCAGAAAATTGTTGAAAAATGGCAGACCCAGATACTGTTTTTCACAGAGTGATATTTAGTTCAGATAATAGCATAAACTGTGGCATAACAATGAGAATCTCTAGATTTCAACCATTATAATTTCATTTTATGGAACTGTTTTTGGTTTTCCCTGTGTATTAACCTTGGTGTTTGCAAAATAAAATGTCAAAATAAAATTTACAAAATAAAATATAACAAAATAAAATGTAAATACCATGAATATATCTCTTACCATCTTAAAATTTTAAGCACTATTATTAGGAAGGAAAAAAATTCATAAAGAGGAAAAGCACACCAGACACAACTTGTGTGTTTCTTCCCTGATTTAATGTGATTCATTAGAGGAATGATACTAAATAATTATTTACAATACTTCATTGAAATTCCAGTTCAAGTGTCTTCTGCTGACAGCCTTGGATAGAAGCTTTCCGACTGGCAGTTGAAGCAACCATAAATGGAGGCAGAACTTTAGAACTGAAAAGAAGTGGTGGAAACCCAAAAAAGGAATGCCATTAATATTTCTAACTAAAACCAATTTCACTGGATGATATATGTAGAGCAGGGCCTGTGACCAATCCAGTTTTTCATCTCTGTCTAACCAATATGGCTGAAGTTTTGCCCTTGCCCTAGGGCAGCTATCATTTGAAGGAAAGTTGCTGCTCTTAATGCAAATTCAGTGACTTCAATTGTCTTCTCTGACATTACCAAAAAAAGATGCCCTGGGCTGTTAAATATATATATTTTTAAATTGTCATACATTGGGGAAAGTTCAAATGATTGGTTCTAAAAACAATGCACCTGACCTCCAAGGTATGGAGGCCAGCTAGTTTCACCTGATGGAGTTCCCCATTGAAATGCCTTTGAAAACAGAACACTTGTAGAGTCACAGTTGTACTAAAAAGTAAGGTTGTTAATATATTAAAAAGCATTTATTTGAAATCTTACACAGGGCCAGGCCCTGTTTTAAGTAAACATATAGAGGAAATTCCCTGTCCTTATGTAAACATATATAGAAAATTCCCTGTCCTTGCAGAGATATTATTCTAGCTGCCATGGAGTTGGGAGCAGACAACAAACAATTAGCCCAGTTTGTTAATAGATAAGGAGTGCTGTGGGGTGGGAGGGATACAAAGAGTTGTCAGACTCTGAAAGGATTAACTGTGCAGAAAGATCAGAAGAAGAAACAATCACAAGCATGCCTGTGCCTCTGACAGGTAGGAGATAGGAAACTCCCTGCATACCCCGATTTTCCAATGGAGACCTATATTCCAACCAAAAGAGTCACGGTTTTTCCCTGATGGGGTGAGCAAAATTAACCAACAGGCTAAGTTGCCCTTATCCATTGAGTGGTTGAAATTCACAGTACGTAAACTAGCCAAGGGTGAGTAGGGGACACTAACCCTTGATATTAAATTGGCAGTAAATAAGAACAGAATTAGAAAAAAAATAGGGAGTTGGTACTCTAAAGAAATTTTTTTCATGCAGCATTTTTAGTAAAAAGTATATCTAAACATAAATTAATAAGAGCTCATACTTGTTTGTCATGAAATTATAATACTGCTGTGAGGTAGAGATGATCATCATCTCTATTTTAGAAATGTGCTAACTAAGGCAATGACAAATTAAGTGATTTGCCCAAGGTCACACCTCTAATAGGTTGTGAAGATGGGATTTGAACCCAGACAGTCTGATTTGAGACTCTAAGCTCTCCAATTTAATATACCAAGTTGCTTTCTCATTGTAAAGGAGCCAGGTAGTGGAGATAAGTAAAAATAAATCCTGCCCTAGGCTTACCAACTAAGTGTCTTTAGACACCACAAACTTGGGGAGGTTCTGTACATACCTATTGTGCTTCAGCTTAAGGTATGAGAGGAGAATTTTGGTGGTGTCCTAGTGGACATTAAGTATTGGACACTGGAATATACACTCACCCTGTCAATTTACAACCTATAGGCCTGCATATATTTATTCTCATTAAAGGATGGGTAAGTAGGAGAAAAAAACAGTATGGAGAATAAATGAAAGTATGCTCTCATGTAAGTAAAGCGTAGGCTTAAAGATAATAGAAGAATCATATCTAAATGGGAAACAAAATTTTTCTTAAGCATCTGTATTGTACTCTTCACAATTTTAATAAAATATGAGCTGTATGAATAAAGTGAAAATGAACTGGTCTGATATGTTGAATGACAGAAAGAACATTAGTGATTAGAACTGACCCTGTAGAAAATCAAGTCATTGGAATTAAATAATATGTGGATACAACGCAAGGTGTGAACATCATGGGTGAAAACAAAATGATTGATTGAGTGGTTAGAAGACATACTAGATCTGTCAATTGTATTATTTTAAAATTAAAAATAAAGACATCAACCTTTATTAAAATTTACTATACAGATTGCACTGGTGGCTTCCCTTTGTTTATATATCACATGGTCATGGCTGATATTCAGTACAAGTGGTTCACAGACAAGAAAGTAGAAGAGGCTCCATGGTACACCTTGAGAGGTTGCTTTCTCAGACACTAGTTTATTTTTTTTACTCTACATATAGCAATGTATGTATATACCTGCAAGATATATCATATGTCCAGTTAAATAAATTCACAGATTATATTTTCCTAATCATGGAATTTGTTTTTTCAGTACAAGAAATGAGAAGTGACTGTAAAAATAGTGCACACTTCCCTAATGATATTCCCTGCTACCATTTCAAAGTGTCCCCTACAAAATTCAGGAGTTGCCAATGGGCTAGTATTAGAAGGCGAGGCCTTTAAGAGGTCATTAGGCCATGAGAGCTCCTTCCTTGTGAATGGAATTAGTTGCCCTTATTAAAGGGGTTGGCAGAGGGAATCACCTTCTACCTTCTCCCTGTGAGTATACCACATTCCTCCTTCTCTGTGGGATGCAGCAACAAGGTGCCATCTGGAAAGCAGAGGGCAACATTCATCAGACAACTAAACTTTCCAGTGCCTTGATCTTGGACTTCTCAGCCTCTAGAACAGTGAGAAAATAAATCTGTGTTCTTCTTAAATTACCCAGTCTCTGGTGTTTTGTTATAGCACAAATTGACTAAGACATCCTCTTTCCTCCTTTATCAGATATAACCAGTCTATTGAATTATGTATTAACCATTTCCTCACTTTCTGTATAATATCCTTGTTTTATATTTTATTATCTGCTTTTATATTTATATTTTATTCCTTCTGCTTTTTGGGGAGAGATGTAATTCCTTTTTCTTTTTCTTTACTAACTACATAAATTGGATGCTTAGATTGTTAGTTTCCTTCCTTCCTACCTTCCTTCTGCCTTCCTTCTTTTCTTCCTTCCTTCACGTTTGTTAACCACAGGAAAAAAACCTTTAAATAGACATTAGGCATTATTGTTAAATAAACTGTTAAATTACTGTTAAATAAACAGTAGCTATTATTGTGGATTTGTCTGTTTTCCTTTGTAATTTTCTTCCTCTCCTGCTTCCTTTCTTCGTTCCTTCCTTCCTTTTCATCTTCCTGTTTTTTCTATAATATGAACTTAAATTTGATACTATGTATTTTCATCAGTTGACAATATTTCCTAATTTTTTATTGTAAGTTCATCTTTGCGTCATGTACTATATAGATCTTATTTGACCCTAGTGTAATTGACTTTTTAAGAAATATTCAAAAGGAGTTTTTAGTTATTCTACTGTAATTGATTTCTAGTTTAGTTTCACTCTGATTAGAAAACATGCTCTGTATGATTTCAGTTCATTGAAATTTGTTACAACTTATAGTTCTTTAAAAAATGTTCAGTGTTTATTTAAAGGTTTTTTTCTTGTGGTTTTTATGTTCAAAACACTACATTCTTATTTTTTCTTCTTCTGTTATTTACAGAGACAAGTTTGTTAAAGTAGTCAGCATTATTGTGGATTTTCTATTTCCCTTTGTAATTTTAGCATATTGCTTTATGAGTTATGAGGTTATGTTCTTGGAGGCACATACATTTAGAAATGTTGTATTTACGAAAACTTTTATTATCAGTAGCTGTCTTTAGTGATTTTTTAAAATTTTATTTTAAAGTTTTCTCTTAATATAGGCATACAGTTGACCATTGAACAATATGGGGGTTAGGGACAGTGATTCCCTGCACAGTAGAAAATCTGTGTATAACTTTTGACTTCCCCAGAACTTAACTACTAATAGGCTTATGTTGACCAGAAGCCTTCACAATAACATAAACAGTTGATTAACACATATTTTGTATGTTATATGTAATATGTATTGTATTCTTACATAAAGTAAGCAGAGAAAATGTTATTAAGAAAATTATAAGAGGAAAATATATTTAGTATTTATTATGTGGAAGTAGATTGTCATATGCCTTTATCCTTGTCATCTTTACGTTATGTAGGGTGGGGAGGAGGAGGAAAAGGAGAGGTTATTCTTGCTGTCTCGGGCTGGAAGAGGTGGAAGAAAATCCACATGTTAAGTGGACCTATGCAGCTTGAGTCTGTGTTGTTCAAGGGCCAACTGTATTCGTTCTGTTAGCCACGATTTTCCAGAGAAAAGAATCAATTACATATACATACATAAACACACATATGTATGAGTGTGTATATGTACATACATATATATGAGAGAGAGAGAGAGAGAGAGAGGGAGAGAGAGAGATTTATTATGAGAAATGGGTTCATTTAATTTTGGAGGCTGAGAAGTCCCAAGATCTCTATTTAGCAAACAGAAGATGCAGGAGAACTGATGGTATAGTTTCAGTCTTAGTCTAAAGAACTGAGAAGGAAGAATATTGATGGTGTCAGTTCCAGTCAAAGTCCAAAGGTCTTTGGGGAAGGCTGAGAGAAAGATTAATATTATTCATTTTCGACAATGTACTGGGGTCCTTCCTCAAGGGGACCCAGCCTTGCCCTCATTAGAAGGATTCTGGATCTGTATGTAAACTGGCTTGTCTAGGAATTGGGAGGTCATGACTCTCCATTTCTATGACTCAAATTAGACTTCTGTTCACTTGACCTAGAACTTTTCTGTCCGTAAAGGTCAAGTAAGAATTTAGTAGGCTTCCTTTCTGTTTCACTTTTAGGAACACCCATAATTAAATAGCCAATGCCATAGGTCAGTTCAAGGCCAGCTCTTCTGATTGTTGCTTTGACTCTACTGTCCTTCACAGTAACCATACCCACCTTGCCTTGGAGATTGAATCCTGCCTCTTGGCCCTTGGCATCCAGGATCCAATTACTCCCATTGCATTTAGGTTTTCTAATGTAGTGACTTCAATTCCCACTGTGAGGTCTGCTCCACAGAGAAGAGTGATCACAAAGATTTTCAAGAATGCTGAGGCTTCACTTACAAATTTATTTCCTCACAGTATTGGTCAGTGGTATGTCTTCTAGACCGTTCCAATATAAGTGAATGGATCTTAAATGGTAAATCCACTCTAACATTCCAATCTCCCTAAGACTTTGAATTCTTTCCACTAAGTCAAACCAAGGCATGTCTGGCATTTTTAATTTACTCACTGTGGGCCACCTTTTGGTCCATTCTTCACTTTCCACCAAACAAACTTTTAAAATCCCTCCTAACTGCCAAAGCTTTAACATTAAATGCAGAATCTCTGCTCAGTGACTCTATGCCAATACGCCTGATCCAACATTATTTGCCTTTCACTATTATCTCACACCCTTTATACCAGTTTCCACACATGTCCCCCAGATTTCTCTCTGTATAAAGTAGAAAACTCAAGTAGTTCTTCTGGAGGGTAGCACATACCCTCAGGGGTTATACTTTTTACCTTACCTCTAGGGGGATGCTGGGACATGAGTCTAGCTACAGGTCTGGAAGCAAAGAGAGGTGGTGGGGTGGGTTCTTAGGAGAATCAGCATTGCCTTGCTTACCATCTGCCTCAGGGGAGGCTATTTCAGTTTCTTTAGTCAAAGCAGCAGCAATCCCCTTAGAGGAGGTTAGAGAGGCTACTACCCTTGAGGTTGGAGAGATCCCCTCCAGTAGGGCTGGGGAGGTCTCTTCTACTGTCAAAGAAGACTCATTCGAATTTAGGAGTTTAATGTCCCTAGCTTCATCTGGGTCTTCCAACTTACATGATCCTATTCTTTCCCAATCAATGCCCTTGCTTTAACAGTAGACACCCTACCAAAGTGAGAAAATGTTTACCTCCTATCTCACTGAATGTTTTTACTGACCCTCTCAATAATTCTTCCATGTCTTTTTATATATCTTACATATGTTTTATATTTTTCTTCTTCTTGCATTTTTATGTCATTTCAACAGATTTGTTTTGCATCAACATTTCTTCAGTTAGGCCTCATTTATTTTTTACTTTACCCATTGTCTTTTAAATTTTAATTATCTTATTATTAAAAGCAACATATAATCCAAATTTTATAAAAATATCAATATTTAGAAGACCAGAAACAACTGTATCAAAAAGCAAGAGATATCTGAAAAAGTGCTAGAGTAAGAAATTTTCATTTTAATCTACACACTTTCTATAATTTTGAAATTTTCCATTATGAGCTTGCATTACTTTTGTAACCACAGAAGATTCTACATTTTTAGAAGAAAGCAATCTATTTAGATAATATTTTAAATGTTAATATCTTTATCTTCTTAGATGTTGTTTAATCCCTGTGTAAACATGGTTTCCTGACAAAATAGTTTTTGCATATAAATCCCTACAGGCTGACCTGGCTAATTATATAGTCATATCATGCAGAATACAATATATTGGACAAAACTTAATATTTTCTAGATGATAATTAAAATTGCAAGCCTTCTTTCTTCATTGCATGAATGTTAACATAATGTTTATACATTTCTTTGCCTTTCAAGTGTGAAATTAGAGTAAATGGGCCACTAACTGGTCCCTGGAAGTAGAATAATGACCAGCTAACTGGACTGTAAGTCTCTACATTCACTGTAACTGCAGAGAATTTGATAGGTGATTATTTAATACAGTTTCAAATGATTTTCCACTATACTGGAAGAACTAGTATATGTCTCAATAATGCCTGATCACCTTCAGGATTTTTTGATATTTCACTAAACAATACATTTATCCTATTTGCCTGTTTTATTGAAAGTACTCAGATAAAATGTTAGGTAGAGAAAAATTACCACATATATGAAAGGGAAATCTGTATTCCTTGTATTGAGTATACTTTTCTTTGGCAGAGGACATAATTTAAAAAGTTAACCATTATTGAGGAATATTAAAGGAATAGATTATTCCATTTTATGAACAAAATCCAAAACAAATGACAAATGGCTGTCCAAGGATGTATTTATTTTATTTTTCTTGAAGCTCAGGTTTAAACTTCTCTATTTCAAACATCACTCATTATTTCAGAATAATGCCTAGATTTGTTTCACAGGCTAAAATCATTGCAATAACAGATTAGAAAACAGTCAATTGCCATTCTAATAAAAAGCTTTTGGTAAGAGGCTCATTTACAAGTCCTGAAAGAAGGAAATAGACTTAGTCACTGAACCACTCAGTAATACATTTTAGAAAAGTCATACAAATCATATCACATCTTCAGAGAATACACAGTGGCTTAGTACCTCTATGGCTTCAAGAACTACCTTGGTAGGAACTATAAAAGCATATTATAGTCCCATAGGTTGTGGTAGGTCAGGATGTGTGTGTTTGTGTGTGTGTGCTGTATGCGTGTATGTATGCGTGAAAGAAAAAGAGACAAAGAGAAAAAAGAGCAAGAGATTGAGAATGAGCAGGAAGAAAAGAAGAGAGTTGATTCTTACTATTAAACACAGGATTCTGAGAAAGAGTCAAAAACTATTAATCTTTGAATTAAAGTAAAGAGAGAAAGCATTTCCTAATATTTGCAAAATGGCAGTCTGGAATTAGGAATGGTATCTATCTGTTCTAAATAGTGCAAGTATAAATTACACTAAGAATTCAATCTATAGGAAGGCCTCAGTGACAAGATTTAACAGTTATAGTAAACAAGTTATAGTAAACAATTATTAGAAAGTTAAAATTTTGTAAATTATTAGAAAACATAATTTTGTGTGAGAAAAATGTATAAATACCAACTGCCTTGATTCAGCCTGGATTAGAATTATAACTGAAATCACAGGCCACAAGACACCATGGTATATGATGAGAAGAAAAGAAGGTTGTAGAAACAATTGCTTTTGAGAATGCAATGCACTGTTTTATGCTAAAATTGCCAGAAAAGGTAGAGGACATCCAGTTAAATTTCAGATAAACTAATTTTATAGTCAAACTATGCTCAAAATATTGCATGGAATATAATTATGCTAAAAATAATTTGCAGTTTTCTGAAATTCAAATTTAACTGTGCATCTTATATTTTTATACGCTAACCCTGGAAACTCTATATTAGACATTAACTGATAATGTAAATAATAGAGATAATATTGATACATATTCATGAATTTTAAAAAACATAAAATAATTTTCCCGGTGGTGCTAAAGCCAGGTGTTTTAAAAACAAAAAAATGTTGCAATGTGATTTTATGTCAGTTGTTATGAAGACCCAAGGAATAAATAATAGTAAGCAGTCAAGATACATTATATGGAACCCATATTTTGTCATTTTAAATTTGAATTTCTGGTTGGATTTTCTTTTTTAAGCAAGAAGGGCAATAAGCCCTCCTGTGATCTGCTTTCTAGTACAAAATATCTGTTACAGAATGTAACATTTACTTAAGGCTTTGATTATTGTAAAGCTTAGTTTATGTATATGTTTGTTATGGTCAATTATCAGGATGGAAATTTTACTTTTTGAGAATATACCTGTTTGAATTTGAGTTTATTTACCTAAATTGTAGTGTACATACTAACACTAGAATCATTAACTAATTTTAGACAATTTAACTTCCAACACTATTGTATATAAGTGGCATGAATTTACTTGATGGGCATCATGACCCTGTGTTGATTTTCTTTCTACAAGTCTGCATGCAAATGATGTATTTTGTGATGTTAGCAGATTAATTTCCAAACACAAAATGAAGCATGCTTTAACAGTTGTAACAGCATTATTCTAATGTCTGAAAAGAGGCATTGTTTCTGTGAAAATACATTTACAAACTTTATATTGTAAAACACCTGTTGAAGATAGCATCAACATTTCCTATGCTCATTTCTACCTTTAAATTTGGACCAATTCTTTTCCCTCGCCTAAAATATTTGTTTCTGAGCTTCCACCTATGCAAATTCAGCTCAGCCTTTAGAGCTTGGATAAAGATATATAACCATATGATTAAAAAAAAATAATCCTCTGCAGTTTCAGCTTATGGTGATCTCTCCATTTTTCTTCATTCTCAAAATAAGTGTGGTCTCCACTACCTATCTTCACACATACTGATTTTACTTTTTTTTTTGGAGATGGAATTTCGCTCTTGTTGCCCAAGCTGGAGTGCAATGGCATGGTCTTGGCTCACTGCATCCTCTGCCTTCTGGGTTCAAGCAATTCTGCCTCAGCCTCCCGAGTAGCTGGGATTATAGGTGCATGCCACCATACCTGGCTAATTTTTTATATTTTTAGTGGAAATGGGGTTTCACAATGTTAGCCAGGCTGGTCTTGAACTCCTGACATCGGGTGATCCGCCACAGCCTCCCAAAGTGCTGGGATTACAGGCGTGAACCACCACGCCCAGCCTTTACTTTTATTTTAAATATCTCTTGAGATTTACTTCCTCACCAGAATTATATACAACAAAGAGCAGATATTATTCTCTATTATATTTTTCACAGCACTCATTCATTAATTCATTTAATAAATATTTATTGAGTTGCTACCATGTTCTAGGTTTGTGAAATACGGTAGGAATTCAACCATTATTTAGATTCTTTGTAATTTGTAATCTGACAGAATTGATAGTGGTGTTAAATTCTAGTCACACAAAGGTATGAATATCATGATCTTAAAGTCCCTGGAATATTGTAGATAACTAAAAAGAGGTTGTGGAATGGAAGAAAATAAAGTCTCCAATGACTCATATTATTATTATTACTACTACTATTTTTATTATTATTGAGACAGAGTCTTATTCTGTCGCCCAGGCTGGAGTGCAGTGGCGCGATCTCGGCTCACTGCAACCTCTGCCTCCCAGGTTCAAGCGATTCTCCTGCCTCAGCCTCCCAAGTAGCTGGGCTTATAGGTGCGCGACACCACGCCTGGCTAATTTTTGTATTTTTAATAGAGACGGGGTTTCATTAAGTTGGGCAGGCTGGTCACAAACTCCTCACCTCAAGTGATCAGCCCGCCTTGTCCTCCCAAAGTGCTGGGATTACAGGTGTGAGCCACCACAATGGGCCAACTCATATATTTTAAAGGACTAGTTAATATTTTATTTTCCGTAGAAATGCAGAAGATTAATTCTTACATGAAACAAAGTACATTAGATTTTCCTTCTAAAACTCTCAGAAAAGCAGAAACAGTCATTTCATTTTGAATTTGTGGCTGCATTTTGGTGATTTAGGGTGCATGAATCCAAACAAAATAATAATAGTTAAACATTCTTCTTTCATTGTATGCAATGACATGTGGAAATAGCCACAAGTATTTGTTCAAGTAAGCAAACATAATTGAATATCAGGAGGAATGATTAGGTACACTTTGAAACCTGATTATTCTTCATGGATGAAGGCATAAATGTATGAAAAAAGTATGAAATGTATGAAAAAATAGTTCGGTTTATCCTACAGTTCAAAAACTGTCTTGGGCTTCTTTTTTTATTCCATCTGCTTCTCTAATTTAATATTTCATTTCATCTGTATAGTAAGAAGTGGTTTATTATTTTGAAAATTATGCCACTCATTAAAATATTACATTATGTATATAGAACATTGTTGTAGATAGAAAAATAGAGAATTCAGTATTTGAAAACCTGATCAGCTGCTATGCATATTTATGTTATTCTAGCCTAGATGATTTCAAAGGCATTTTCTTGTACAGAGTCATCACAGAAGCAAATAAAAGTCCAGCTTCTGAATTTCTATTTGTATTATTACTATCTAATGAATTCTGTTGTACAGCAGGTGTCAAATCATATCTGTTGTTTTGCAGTCGAGTATGAATAGAAGATATATTGCTATTGCAAATGAATCTAATATGAAACTAATGAGCAGTAATGAGCAACTGTTTTGTCATTATTGGGGCAACCACTGAGCTGCTAATAAACTCTCATTTTTGCTCTTTAGAAAAAGCAGTGACCAGGATTTATAACATGGCCTTAATGTCCCCAAAGCCTGAGGCAAAAATAAATAAATAAATGAATAAATAAATAGTGAAATCCTAAGCTGAGAATAATTTAGTCATTTTCTATATGATGGTCTTTTCTCTTATTAAAATGATCTAGTTATAATGCCTTTCAAGAATTTCTATAACTGAAGAAAAAATGAAGTATGGGTGTCCATTAAATGAATATGAAGTTGAGAAGATAGGCATCTTGCCTGATTTTCCTTAATGTAAATATAATAATTCTGGAGTTTTTCACTTGCCATTTCTTTTATAGTATAATGAAGCTAATGCAGGGAGCTTTTTAAAAAACCCAGTTACCTTAGAGGTAAAATTATTGAGGGACTTTTGTAATTAACCTTATTAGTTTCTGTAAGTGGCCTAACTTGGTAAATAACCAAGAGTACTTATCACACAGTATTATGGCCATATATTTTATGTCTCTGCCTTCTCTACAATAGTTTAAGAGCAGGGAGCTCAATAAATATTTATAGGATGAATGATGAAGAAATAATTGAATGCATGGGGGAAAAGCTAGTGCATTAAATTTGCATTCTTAGGTAGAAATGAGGTTTATTGTGTGTGCATGCGTGTGTGCGTGTGTGCGTGTGTGCATGTGTGTGTGTATTAAATTTTTGTAGAGATGGAGTCTTGTTATATGGCTCAGGCTGGTCTCAAACTCCTGGCCTCAAGATGATCCTTCTACCTCGACCTCCCAAAATGCTGGGATTATAGGCATGAGCCACTAACTGGCTATAATAGTTTTTAATACACAAGTATTTAATGTGTCATAAGTGCTTAAGGACTCTACTTTAACTACCTTATACTTCCAGATGAAATGTTTTAGTATGTATGATTTATGTAACTTTGTTGCTTTAACTAATAAACTTACACTAACTCTAAAAACTAATTTTGTTATCTTTCTACATATGCTTGCTACAACTGATGGTTTTGATATATAACCCAAGACTTAATCAGTATTTAAAATAACATACAGGCTTCAGTAACATTCTTTCAAAATTTTTTATATTTATGTAAATTTTATAGGCTCAAAAGTTCACCCATCTGATTAAAGATAAAGCTGTGAATTATCTTTGCTTTTATTAGGCTGTTGTAGACTTAAGTCTACAAACACAAAGCTATTTGATTTGATTAATTCAATATTGCTCACTTTAGTGAGACTTTTTCCCATTTCTAATGAAGTTAACATTACGTGCATACATGTAGAAATTTTACAGTTTTTGATATGTATTATCAAACTATGTATAAATATTATATTTATAGCCTAGAGGATCTACCAAAACTTGTAGTAAACACAAACAAAGAAGGAACTACTATTTGATTGTTTAAAACACACAAAAGAAGTGCATTATATGGCCTGAAATACTATTTGACCCTGAAGATCCAAAATACTGCACAAAGATATTCTTATACAGAGTGACGAAGTTGATTTAAGATGGAGGTGTTTGGCTAAATGGGCTGTGCCTTTAAAACTGTTCTGTGTCAAGTCCTCCTCCAAATGAACCCAAGTGTTCTGAGATCCCCCCACCCCCTTATACCTTATAATGTAACAACTGTCCAGTAGATATAAATTTTTTCATATTTATTAATATACACACAATTCTACAAAATTCTAGGTTTTGGAATGTCTGAAAATTGAAAGTAAAGTCTATATTTTGATCTTACAGTACAGATAACTATCCATACTGACTTCAGATACCTTCAGAATGAATTAGTCCAATATCAGACAATCCTTAGCAAAGGCATCTGTGTTATTTGGAAGACGCTTTTTCATAGACTTACTTGTTGCAGCCAACAGTATCTGTGACTAATTGTACTAATCATAAATTCAAGTGAAGCAATGTCCTCAAAATACAACATGTAATTATTTTAGGTCTCTTATTCTCATGGTGATCTGAAGAACAGAAAGGGTAGTTAACTGTGCCATATAGATATAACTTATGGTTCATCAGGCCCGTTCATTAAAGTAAAATAAAATTCTCAATATAATCTTTAATTTTGGTAGGAGAATCTCCTATTGTTCAAAAATGTTAATAACCTTTAAAGAAATGTGCCCTAGAGATAACCTATATGTTTTAGGCTGTTTTCCATTGTTTCCCTGTCATCATGGGAAAGAAATTAAAATTATAAATTATCTCCCAGATTAACACTCGAAGTAATTCCTTCATATATTTTTGAGAATATATGTGAAAATACAATAGAGATTTTTAAAAACTGCTACTAAATCAAGGAAACATTTACCTTCACATTTTATTGATTGATTGTATTAGATATCAATTGCTTATATACTTTAAAGAGAATAGTAGCATAGTTTTTAAACAGTGCTAATTATGGATAGGGTGGAAACATGATACTCATAATTTACGATTACTTATCATAGTAATACTTGCATATAGTAACAATTAAAACAGGGCAGAAAGGCTTTTAATAAAAAGCAACAGTTCCGCTCAACCCTGCCCACCTTTTGGCTTGTTCCTGTCTTTATTTCCTTCAGTTATTACTTCCCTAATTCTTTTTTAAAAACAGAGGTGATATGTAGCCAGTATGTCCCAGTCAGCATCCATTCTGAATATAGACTTGTGTTCTGATCATTATGTGTCTATGTCATAATAGTTATCAAATATTAAAGCTGTTTGACTAATACAATTTATATCCTAATTTCTTTCTTTTTTCCTCCTTTTTTTTCTTTTTTTTTTCTTTTTGAGTGTCTTCCTCTGTCATCCAGTCTGGAGTGCAGTAGTGCGGTCTTGGTTCACTGCAACCTCTGCCTTCGGAACTCAAGCCTGACTCCCACCCACTTCAGCCTCCTGAGTAGCTGGGACCACAGGCGCACCCCACCATTGCCTGGCTAATTTTTGTAGAGACGGTGTTTCACCATGTTGCCCAGGCTGGTCTCAAACTGCTGAGCTCAAGCGATCTGTCCACTTCAGCTTCCCAAACTGCCGGGATTACAGGTGTGAGCCACTATGCCTGGCCTGCATCCCAGTTTCTTGATTTAACACATTTAAGCATTATCTATTGACTCAGCATATCTAAAAAAATTTAGCTCATTCACAATACCTGTCCCTCTTATGTTTCCCAATTTAAGACAGTTGCATGATTTAAAAAATGTCTTTTAACTTTAACTTTGTAACTTAAAATAATCCGTCACTTCAATGCATAGTAGTTTCCCTGTGTTTCTTATTGATCTTATTGCATCTCTCAACTCCCCATCACTGAGGATATTCTTAGGCCTTCTACCATTTCTTCCCATCTTTTCTGCTTGGCATCTCCAATATTGGTAATATTTACATGTTTTTCTGAAGCCATATTGAAATCTTGTCTATTGGCTAATTATATCTAGATCTAGTTATCATTATAACTATGTAAATATTTCCTTCTCTACAAATCCAGAGTCAAAATCCCTGAGCAACTCAAAGGAGAAATTTCCTGGCATCAGACAAAATCGATTATCTATTTTTTCTTTCCATCAATGACTCAAAATCATGCCTTACTGAATTTGCTTCTTATTTGGATCAGAATTTCTTGTCTGGTTTTTGTTTTTCTTTTATATCTGGATTCATCTTTCTTTCCTTGTTAAGGTAAGCAACACATTAGCCATTTGATCATATCCCTAGCTTTTTACTCATTCTACCTATTGAATGAATCTTTCCAAAATTTTTGGAAAAAATATAATAAAAAAAGTACAACAGGAAAAAAAATGAAAACAATATGGTGCAACAACTATTTATATAGCATTTACATTTCATTAGGTATTATAAATAATCTAGAGATAATTTAAAACATATGGGGGATCTACATAGGTTATATGCAAATACCATGCCATTTTATACAAGGGACTTATACATCTTAGAATCTTTCAAAAATATTGGAAAAAATATAATAAAAAATAGTATAATAATAACAATCTTTCTCTTTTTTGGATGACATTACTTCTAAAGTCTAGAGACTTCCTGTTCTAATTTTGACTGAAATTATTCTTAACCTTGTGAATACAGTTGTATCCAATCAGTTGTAACCAATTCTCTATATTCTCCTCAAGACATGAGTTTAAAAAAGGTTGACTGCGCATGTTTGACTTCCTTCAGGATATGACCAATACCTATAGTACAGAGATTTCCCTTCTAATTTACAAGTGCAATCATTAGAGGAGCCCTTGGCTCTGGTCAGAGATTGGCCCTGCTTCTTACTCAGACTCTCACAGTTCTTGCTTATTCCTTGGGCGTTAACCAACTCTTCTTTATTTTGTCAGTTTTCAGAATATGGTCTGTGGATCTCTGGATGTCTACAGAACCATTTCAGGGAGTATGTGAACTGAAAAATATTTTTATAATAACACTAAGGCATTATAGTCATCCCTCGGTTTCTGCAAGAGATTGGTTCCAGGACACCCCCATCCTCAACTCTGTCTCCTTATCCCCCAAGGATATGAAAATCTGTTGGATGTTTAAGTCCCTTGTATAAAATGGCATAGTATTTGCATATAACTTATGCACATCACCCGTATGCTCTAGGTTACTTATAATACCTAATGCAATGTAAATGTTTTATAAATAGTTGTTGCACTGTATTGTTTTTATTTGTATTATTTGTTATTCTTGTATTGTTTTTTCCAAATATTTTCAATCCATGATTGGTTGAAATCTTGTGATGCAGAACCAATAGATACAGAAGACTGAGTGCACTTTGCTTATTTCTTTGTGTTGACATTTGCACTGATGGTGCAAAAGCAATGGTGGGTAAAAGTGCTGGCACCTTAGCATAAATCCAGGCAGTAGTACCAAAGTGGACTCACAGTAAAAAAGAAAGAAAAGCAGTTTCACATAGAATGTTCTTGATGAAAAAGTAACACTTATTATTTTGATTAAATCTGGATGCTTGAGTACTAGTTTTTCAATATTCTGTGTGACAAGACAGGAAGTACTCATAAAGCACTTTTGCTGCACACTCAAACAGAGTAAGCCTTGAGAAAAAGCACTTATACAGTTATTTGAGAAATGAGCTGAACTAGACATCTTTTTTCACGGCATATCATTTTTATTTGAAAGAATGACTGACAAACTGTGATGATGTAGAATTGGATATTTGGCAATATTTTTTCTTGATAATGAATGAAATGAAACTATTGCTTCAAGGAAAACAACTCACAGTATTTGTTGCCAATAATAAAATTTGAGCTTTCGAGAAAAAATAAGTTTTTGGAAAATTTGTATCCACTACTGTGAGCTTGACAGCTTCTCAATAGTTATTTTCTATTGAGATTGGTGGTGATATTAATCAATGTGATTTTTAAAATGTATTTTGTAATGGAGGATCTACATAACTCAGTGAGCCATTATTTTCCAAACGACTAGTGCATGATGATATAAATCATAGATGGGTGAAAGAGCCATTCAAAATTTAACATTGACCCATTCATTTCAATATAACAGTGTATGGAAAATTCACTGATATGATCTCAGAGTCCACATTGCAACTAACCTTACAGAAACTGCCACTTGTCATGTATCATTGTAGTACCAAAGAAGAACACCTAAATTTGTCTGAAAAGACTATTAAAATACTTTTTCCCTTTCCTATTAAATTTCTGTATAAGAACATATTTTCTTGATATTTTTAATCACAGGGAAGATATCACAACAAATTGAATACAGAAACAAAATTCAGCTGTCTTTACTAAACTAGACATTAAAAGCGATTTTCAAAAGTGTAAGATAATGTCATTCTCATTAATTTTTTTTGTTTGGGAAAATATAGGAATTTTTGATAAAAATCAATGTTGTTTATGTTAACATATAATGAGTTTATTGTTTTTTGCAAAGTGAACTAAAAAATGTTTTTTTTTCAGGTTTAATTTGTAAAATAGCAAATATTGAAAGATATAATCCATATAAACAAATGGTCTTTGGGATCTTTAATAATTTTTATGAGTCCAAGGGGGCCCTGAGACCAAAACTCAATAATTTGGGAACGGCTGGTATTGACTTCTTGCCTGCAAAGACCTGAAGTATTTGCCATATTCCTTATGCCTAGCTGAGTTTTTGTTTCTCGATCTTTCAGAGTATTTTTGTTCTTCTGTTATTCATTCCAGTGGATCAGTAGTGGAAATGGAGATTGGCCAGTTATTTTATTCCTTTGAACTGTGTAGACAGTAGATGTTTTAGGTCCCCAAAAACCTTCATTTTGGAAAAATAATTACCTAGTTTACTTATAGATCATTAAATTTACCAGATTATTGACACTGATGGATGTCCCTATCTCTTTAAACTTACACAGTTTATGTTATAATGTTATGTCAATTTTACCATTTCCCTCTCCATTAGTAAAGGCTGTTCTCCTGGCAAAGTTACAGATTTTATTTTCTTCCCAGAAAGCTAACCATGACCTTACACCTTTCTGATTTAAAGAGGTGGGATCTTTTAAATTTCAATGACCATAAAGTTTTCTTTAAGAAACTCAAATAGAAGCATCCATCGACATTTCTGATAATTTTCTGAAGTAATAAGAAGAGGACAAAGATGGAGACATCCTTTAAAAAGGGGAGCCTTTATCATGGTAGCATTGCTTCATCTTTTTCTATAAGACTTGAAAGGCTGTTTTCAGTAATTTATGTTAATGCTTTATTTTCGAAGTTTTCTTTCTTTCATAAGCTCTTCATACTTTGACCAAGAACTGACCTTTCCCCTCTTTGAAATTTACCCTCCAACCTGCCCCTGTCTCCAGGCTAGCTTTTCATTAGGGAACATGGGAGACATACCCTGATGTTGCTATGCATTGCGCTCTGGTGGCAGGCCTCCTGACAAAAATCAAAGAGCTGCTAGTGCCATAAGGATGAACTCTGTGATCTCAGCCCCCTAAAGAGAAGCATCCCCAGAGAGAGGTTCAATTCATGTCAGAGTTAAAACTTAATTCATCTGAGAGCTGAGAAGCAGTCAGGCTTTTGAATATTTTTATTGAGAAACATTTTCCAAATCACAGATCAAATTAATATTTCAGTTACTTCTTTGAATGAATCTAGTTCAAGGCAACAAACAAAGCCAATGGCTCATGTGCAATGCGATTTAAATGAAGTTTTTAGCATTTTAAAACAGTTTTTGCTACTTTTTTTTTTTTTTAAAGCAGAGCAGGGACATGGCTTTTTCTAGAGATATATTGCTTTCAGGAGCTACCCATTGCTTAGCACACCCATTGCTTAGCACAATTTAATTCTAATGTAACTGTACTTGGGATTCTTAAATGCCATCAATGGGAATGCATGGAGTATACTCAGAGGAGTTAGAGTCTTCCTTTTACTTTTATGATGTTAAGTACCATACTAAGCTAAATAAGATTGTGTTACAGTACTGGAACCTGTCTTAAAGTGGAAGTAAGTTGTTATAATTCTGGCTTAGGAAAGACTGAGTTTAATTTTGCTAAATGTTGAAAGATGTATCTAACCTTCCCAGGAAATGTCTTGTGGCCTTAAATTAAGTGATAATATTTACTGAACACTAAAATATACCAGTTACTCTTCTAAGTAATTTACATGTATTAAATTATTTAACCAGTAGAACCACTTCATAGGATCAGTATTTTTATTGTGCCTATTTTTTAGGCATGGAAACCGAGGTACTAAGAGTTGAAAAACTTTACCCAAGAGAATTGGTGTCAGAAATGAAATCAGAATGCAGGCACTTTGGCTGTAGAGAGCATGAATTTAACTACTACACTATTATTCCACTCTAGGTTGTCAATATGTAGTGATCATAAAGAAACAACACTGGCCGGGCGCGGTGGCTCACGCCTGTAATCCCAGCACTTTGGGAGGCCGAGGCGGCTGGATCATGAGGTCAGGAGATCGAGACCATCCTGGCTAACAAGGTGAAACCCCGTCTCTACTAAAAATACAAAAAATTAGCCGGGCGCGGTGGCGGGCGCCTGTAGTCCCAGCTACTCGGGAGGCTGAGGCAGGAGAATGGCGTGAACCCGGGAAGCGGAGCTTGCAGTGAGCTGAGATTGCGCCACTGCAGTCCGCAGTCCGGCCTGGGCGACAGAGCGAGACTCCGTCTCAAAAAAAAAAAGAAACAACACTGAATTCTGTTAGCAGTCTGTGAGTTTTTCATTATTTCTCATGTTTAACTTTACTGATTTATTTCTCTTTCACTGTAAAACAACTGAGATAGTCATACCTTGGTACATGTTCCCTACTCTGGAATGCCCTTCTTTCTTACTGTTCAAATTCAACCCATTCTTTAATGCTCATTTCTCCATAAAACTATCTATTAATCAGGCTTTCAAAATTAGAGATGGTATGGAACACAGAGGATTTCTAGAACGATTTCTCCTCAAAGCAGTAATTACTGAGGCAACACTGAATCCATTAGCTTCTGATTGAAAACATGCTGTTACAGGGTACCTAATATCTTCTCTTCATAAACTTTTACTTAACTACTAATTATTGCCACCCTAAACTAGACTGATACCTTCGTTTTTTGACAGAAATTTAGGATTATACAACTATCTATTATTAATCTCCTGTTTATTCATATATCTGTGCTTTTGATATATATGTTTTAATGTACCACTCTTCTAGATGCTTGAAGATAAAATAATAAAGACATTGGGCCTTGTCTTTACAAATCAAATTTTTTTTTTTTTTTTGAGTTGGAGTCTCATGCTGTCGCCAGGCTGGAGTGCAGTGGCGCGATCTCGGCTCACTGCAACCTCCGCCTCCCGAGTTCAAGCAACTCTCCTGTCTCAGCCTCCTGAGTAGCTGGCACTACAGGAGTGCGCCACCACGCCCAGATAATTTTTTTTTTTTTTTTTGTATTTTTAGTAGAGACGGGGTTTCACCATGTTGGCCAGGATAGTCTCGATCTAGACCTCGTGATCCGCCTGCCTCGGCCTCCCAAAGTGCTGGGGATTACAGGCGTGAGCTACCACACCCGGCCAAAATCAGATATTTTTAAGATGTCTAACCTAGACTAGGAGACTAGGGAATAGTTCACTAACAGTAATGTTAATGTCTGTGAACTAACACATGAATGTTATATGTCTATGAACATTCTTTGGACCCTGGTTCGGTAAATGCTACAGGGTGAGTAAACTCTACTTCCCTTAGACTTTGTTAGCCCACCAGCATTCATCTGTCCAAACAACTATTTGTAATGCTTTTCCCTGGGTAACTATATCCAGATTCTTCACGACAGTGCCTCCACCTGTTACCACTTTTTCGCTTTTTTTTTTTCTAAAATATAATTTACATGGAGTAATATTTACCTTTTTTTTAGTGTAGTTCCATGAGTTTGGCAAATACACACAAATAATGTAACTGCTACCACATTACGATATAAAATCATAGTGAATATTTAAAACTTAATTTCCTAAATGGATGTGTAAGTAAAGGTACTGATGGTGGGGAGAATTACTAGCAAAATTTGGTACACTCAGAGGGTTTGCCTCTTATAGCTGAAGACTGCTCATGGGTTCACTGATAAATATAGAATCTGTTCACATTAGAGGCAAAGGATAGGATGTAGATTAAAGTTTTTTTTTTGTTTAAAGCAATTCTTGACATTCTCTTTCAGGAAGTGAATTTTGGAATATTCAAGTATGTCTTTTTTTCCCATCTATCCCTATGGACATGGGAATTCATAAAATTCCTATTCCCAACTCTTCATAAACTTAACATATGGTTTGTGTTCTCTACTTTTGTTTAATTGTGTGTGTGCATGTGTGTGTGTGTGTGTGTGTGTGTGTGTGTATGTCTGTGTGTGACTATCATAATGGGAAAATAAGAGGAACAGATTACATACTGAGTCTTTTCCCATGTGAACAGCTATCAAAGTATTTTCTAAACAACGAAGTATTATTGAAATGTAAGATATACTTCTCTCATTTTCACAATAGTGCTCAGCAAAAAATGGACAAAAGTTTTTATTTAATGAGTTCTTCTCTTTAATTGATTGAATGATTGCTTCCATATGTGTGAGCTCTACTGTAACACTAGACAAGTGACACTGGAGTGAGATTTACTTCAATATTAGGCTTAGGGCTGTTTTCTGATGATCTTTTTGATGATAAGTATAAAAAGTTGCTGTGCCATTTTGAAAGGCAAACGTTAATGTATTTCTGCCTGTGATCTGGTCCTATCATCTGGACAATATTTACCCTGAATAATTCTTTTCTTTCAGCTCAGTATGACATACTCATTTTCAGTACAAGACAGGTCATGTTTATCTGTTGCACTGTCTATGGTCCAGTGATCTCTTTTGTAGTCTAAGGGGAACTGTATAAAGACTGAACTGTGTCAAGGAGACTAAGAGTGTTAAAGTTCACGAAGAAATCAAGATAAGCCTTTGCAGAAACAAGAGGGAGTTAAAATTAGTATGAATTGATTTCCTACCCCCTTTTCAGAAATTGTTCTCACATGTTGAGAGTCTTTGGCCATTTGTGTTATGCTCTGTGTTAAGACTGTGACATGACTATGCCAGAGGATGGCCAAGGTCAACAATGTGACCTATTTTTATTTTTTCTTAATAGGAAAAAGTTGCCATTCTTTTCCAACACTAGCAGAATCTTTCTGTGTGTGGCTTTGCAGACTCCTTTTTGTGAACATTTCACATCTTTTCCTTTGATTAAGCTTGTTAGATTTCAGACCTCCTTGAACTTTAAACTTCTCATTTCCAGCTTTTCCAGTTAGATGTTCTAAATCGAATGATCTATTATACAATATTATTAGCTTATCTGTCCTTTGGCCATTCATTATTAATTTCAGATATATTTTTCTTAAAATAATAAAACAAACAGGAGATAAACATTGTTTTAAATCATTTCTATTTAAAATTGGATGAATCTATTTACAAGTTTGAATTATCTAAAACAAATAAAAATGCATTTATTATATGAATACTTTATACATCTCAGCTTATCTTTCAGATTTTCTTAAGCTCTGAGTTACAAAGAGGTCCTAGTTGTTTATTGATTATATCAGTGGCACTTTATTGATTTGATCTTGAATCTGCCTAGTGGATTACTAATGTATTAAAAATAATATATCATCAGTCACTATGAAAACAACAAAATTTTTATTAAACCACAAAATATTTATAGATTGAAGTCATATGATCACCAATTAAAGACAAAATTAAGGCAAACATTTCTTTGTCAAAATGTCCAAGCAATTACCTTAATGTTCCAACTCACTTTTTGTGTATGAACATAATGAAGTGATATTAGAATTATATTAAGAAATATTGCTGTGAGACTTTGTCAAGATGGCAGGCTTAGCAGATAAAATACCACCCAATCACTTTCTGGACACAAAAAGAGAGAAATTCTAGAAAAATGTAAAATTATTTAAATGTATATTTGAATGTGAATCCAATAAATGGAAAGCTTTGGTGCCAGAAACAAAGACTGAAATTAGACAGAGTAGTGAGCCACCACTGAAGCTGGGTGGTTCATGGGGGTCTCAGACCCTTGAGGCTATGTGTGAAGGTGATAAGGAATTGGATCCATGCAAATTGGGGTACTGAAACTGAGCTAGTAAGGGTTGCTATGTTCAGGAAAGTGGGAATAGGGAAAAATTCCCTCTGTTTGCTAGACTGGGAGCAATAGGAAGAAATTGGTATTTTCAGGTATCTTGGGTTGGAAAAATTAGGAGCTAGAATGTGCAACCCCAATCTGTGTTTTGCATAAATATGGGGTTTGTATTAATCAGGGTTCTCCAGAGAAATATAATACATATGCTATAGAAGAGGCTTATTATGGGAATTAGAACTAAAGAGGCTGTGAATTCCCGCAATATGCTGTTTGTACACCAGGGAACCGGGAAATTGGTGGGGTAATTCAGTTCAAATCTGAAGGCCTGAGAACCAGGGGAGTTGAAGGTCTGGGAAGAGGTGGAAGTAGGTGGAGGTGGTATCGGTCTGTGTCTCAAAGTACCAAGTTCAGAGAACCAGGAACTCTAATGCCTTAGGGCAGAATAAGATGGATATTCCAGCTCAAGAAGAAAGAGACTTTGCCCTTCCAATACCATTTCATTCAATTTGGATGCTGGATGGATTGGATGATGCCTCCCCATATTGATTAGGGTGGATCTTTCATGCTTAGTCTACTGATTCAAATGCTAATCTCTTCCAGAAATACCCTCACAGACACACCCAGAAATAATGTTTTATTAGCTATCTAGGCATCTTAGCTCAGTCATGTAGACACATAAAATTAGCCATCACAGAGCTCAAATTCACACTGACTACACTTGCTGGTAAACCACAACATAGGACTTGACTCATTGCTGAAGATAAAATATCTCAAGAAGTAGAAATCATAAAACTATGTGAAGAGATTTTAACATAAATATTTTGAAAATGTTAAAGAGAAAATGGAAGAGAAAACATAAAACTTGAATAGGACAGTATGAAAATGAAATGAGTTTTTTTTAACTTTTAATTATAATTTACCTACAGTGACACACCCTTTTTTTATACAGTCCTGCAAGATTTGGCAAAGATATGTACAGTTGTGTAACCACCACCATTACAATCAAGATACAGAACAGTTCCAACACTCCCACAAATTTCCCATGCCATGCTTTGTGGTCAATCTTTCCTCCCAACCCCAGGCCCTAGTAACAACTGATCTGTTTTCTGTCTCAGTAGTTTTGACTTTTCCAGAATGCCTTGTAAATTAAGTTTTTAAGTATATGTAGTAGCTTTTTGAGTGTAGCATCTCACACTCAGCATGACACATCTGAGATTCATCTATGTCATTACATGTATCAGGAGTTGCTTTTCTTTTTTCATTGAGCAGTATTTTATTGAATGGAGGTTCCACAATCTTTTTTGCCCATTTCCTAGCCAAGGGACATATAAATTGCTTTTAGCAATTTTGAATAAATATACTACAAATATTCATATATAGGTTTTTGTGTGAACATAAATTTTTATTTCATGTAGATAAGTGTCCAGGAGCTGAATTTCTGGGTCATATGGTTCGTGTATGTTTAATTTATTAGAAACTTCCAAACACCTTCCAAAGAGGTTATAACAATTTGCATTCCCACCAATAATGTATGAGGATTCTAGATTTTCTGCACCCACATCAGGAACTGGTAATGTCAGTTTATTTTTTTTTAAAGCTATTCAAATAGGTATGTAGTAGTATCTCATAATTTTAATTTACCTTTCCCTAATTACTAATGATCTTGAACACCTTTTCATGTGCATATTTGCCATATGTATATTTTCATCTGTGAAGTATTTGTTCAGAGTTTTGCCCATTTTTATTGGATTGTTTGTCTTCTTACTGAGTTTTGAGAGTTGTTTATATATTCTGGATACAAGTCCTTTATCAGATACATAATTTGCATAGATTTTTTTCTTGGTTTGTGGTTTGTTGTTTTATTATAAGCACCTTCAGAGAGAAGAATTTTTTGATTTTGATAAAGTTCAATTTGTTAACTTTTCTTATAATATTTTATGCTTTTGATATTTCATTTTTTTTCCTATGGATGTTTTCTCTGGTTTCAGGTTTTACTTTTATGTCTGTCATCCGTTTGGATTTAATTTTTGTATATGGTGTGAGGTAGGAAAGGAAGTTTATATTTTTTTGCATGTGTATATCCAGTTTTTCCAACACAATTTTTAAAAAATATTATCCTTTATCTAACAATTAGTTTTGCATTTTTGTCAAAATCAATTGTCAAAAATCAATTGAGGCTGGGCACGATGGTTTATGCCTGTAATCCCAGCACTTTGGGAGGCCAAGGCAGGCAGATCACTTCAGGTCAGGAGTTCGAGACCAGCCTGGCCAACATGGTAAAACACTGTCTCTACTAATAATACAAAAATTAGCTGGGTGTGGTGGTGCGCACCTGTAATCCCAGCTGCTTGGGAGGCTGAGGCGGGAGAATTGCTTGAACCTGGGAGGCAGAGGTTGCAGTGAGTTGAGATCGTGCCACTGCACTCCAGCCTGGGAGACAGAGTGAGACTCCATCTCAAAAAAAAAAAAAAAAAAAATCGATTGAACTATGTATTAGTGGGTCTATTTCTGAAGTCTTTTTTGTTGCAAATATATGTATATATGTGGCTTTATAGTCTTGATATCAGGTAATATAAGTCTTCAAATGTTATTCTTTTTTCAAAATTGTTTTGACTTTTCTAATTCCTTGGCTTTCCATATAAATTTCAGAATTAGTGTGCTGATTTCTATAAAGAAATCTTGCTGGAATTTTGATTGGAAATGTATTGAATCTATATTGAGTCCAAAATCTATATTAGATCTATCAGTTTGAAGAAGCTGACATTTAAAGAATATTGAATCTTAACAACATTATGTCTTTCAACCTATGAGCATGGCATATTTTTCTACTTATGTAGGTATTCTTTTTTTTTTTAAAGAAATATAGAAGAGAGATGACTTGATTCAAGTTAACTATTCTTCTGCTTTCTTGAATCCAGTTTTTAAGTTTTCTTTCTGCTTCTCTCCCAAGTAGAACACTCACAGGGTAAAATTTCCATTTCTTGCTCTGCTTTATGCTTCAAGGTGTATAAGAACATAATCTTTTTAAGTAGGTTACAAAGGCGGACATCTAAAGGTATTCTTTAATTTTTCCTACCATTGGTTTTGTAATTTTCAGCATATAGTCCATATTTAGTTGGATTTATGTCTAATTAATGTAAATGATACAGTTTTATTTGAATTTGCAATTGTTCATTGTTACTATATATAAGATACGGTTTTTTTCATATTGACTTTGCATTCTTTGTGCTTGTTAGTTCTAGCAGCATTTTAGTGGATTCCTTAGGATTTTCTACATGATAATCCTATTGTTCATAAATAGTGCCAGTTTTATTTTGAATTTTCCAATATGGATGCCTTTTATTTCTTTTTGTTGCCTTCTTGCCTACTGAAGCTATGACCTTCAGTATGATTTTGAACAGGATTGGTGAGAGCAGAACATCCTTATTTTGGTTCTGATCTTAGGGAAAAATCATTCAGTGTTTCACCAGTAAGTATAATGTTGGCTGTAGGTTTCTTGTGAATGTACTTTATTAACTTAAGGATGTAATATAATATCATATATATAGGAGCAGTATTAAAACATGTTTGATAAGGAAACCAAAAAATGTCAAAAGAGTGGTTGGCTCTGGGGAGGACTGGAGAAGGAATGGAATTAGAGGAGAATATTAACGAATTTCAGATTTGTGTATAATGTTTTATTTACAAAATAGCCACAGAAATATGTCAAATCTTTACGTTTATTAATTCTAAGTTTTGATCTTTTACATATTTGTAGTTTTACCCTCCTTTTCTCTAAATATTAGAAATATATCACAAGGAAGGTCTTGCTGCAATGTGTGAACATCTTAACAAAAATTTCATTAACCTTTAGACTTTATGATTGCATTAGTGAATTGCAGAAATCCAAATATTAATATAATTCAAAATTTAACTATTAAATTAAGTTTTACCCAATATTTGTCTATTTATCACTCTATCCATCTATCTTCCATCCATCCACTTCAGCAAGAGACTTATTTTTTATGAAATGCCTCAAATGATCAGAAAATCAGAGAATAATATAACAAATTTGCGTAATGACTTAATGTTGACTTTTTAATCCCCCTCATAACATTTTTTTTTAGTTGTTAAATGCTCTATATATTTTTATGTTTTAAAAATGTTCATTCCTATTTAATTATATCTTCCAGCTTGCTTTTGCTAAAAGGAAAGCTATTGAATTTTAAATGCTTATTTTATAATGATCCCTTTTAATAATTTTAATACTTTCTAGTTGTTTTTCTTTTGGGGGGTAAACAGTAATAGTAACCAAAAATATATAATTTATTTTTCTTCTTTTCAAAATGTATATCTCATTATTGTCCTCATCTAATTGGATGGACTGGAACTACAAGGACAATGTCAATGTACTGAGCATATGTTTTTCCCCTGATGTTAAAAGGATTTAATTCAATGTGTCAGGTATACTGGGTTGAGTTAAGCATCTTTATTATGTTAAACAAGGATCTTCCCTTTGTTAGTTTAGTAAGAAGATTGCATTTTATCAAACTTTTAAAAGTGTGTGCCATAGTTAGCTAAAAATACAATGCCTTTTAGCACTTATCCATACAATTATATGGTTTTTCTTCTCTTACCAGAGATAAATTGTATTGACATATTTCCCACTCTTGGATTCTAGAAATGACCTACTTGGTCACTGAGTATTTTTCTCTTAACATACTTAAAACACTTTGCTAAGAGGGTTTTTTTCCTCTCATTTTCAGTGATACATTTAGTTGTACTGCACAGTGTTTTTTATTGTTGTTTGCTTTTTTTTTGTTAGGTTGTGATATCAAGGTGTTCTTGATTGTCACTTTAAAAAAACTATTCATATGGAACAATGATGTTCATATTTAATATAAGGCTCTAAAAATTAAATTTAGACAATACATCAGCACTTTTTCTATGGCTGCTTTATTGCCACAATTGTAGAGTTGAGTAGTTGTGATGAAGACAGTACAAAACTCAAAGTCTTTAATATTTACTCTGTGGCCCTTTATAGAAAAAGTTTGTGAGCTCCTGGCTTAGAGTATCAGCCATGCAGGAAGTATATGGGAACCCCAGTGATCTTTTTTGATGTCCCCCTATCTTGCCATTTCCTAACTTATCCAATTCCCTCAAAGCTGTTATATCAATATTGATGACTTTATCTTTGATTGGCTAATTTTATATTAAGTATTGATCAAAGAAAAAAGATCAAACAATTATTTCATCAACTATTTTCTAACTGACTTTAATATTATTGTCATACTAAGTATCACTGTGTTTAATCCTCCAAATTTTCATCATGATGGTTATTGTAATCATTATTTCAGCCAAGATTTATTTGATTTTCTAACATGTTTTTGTGCAGCATTGTATACACTCTCCCTTGCAGGCTCTAATTCCCTCTTATTGACAGTAAACTTTTCAGCAGGAGAAATAAATCCCAAAACACAAAATGTGAAAGGAAGGCAAATACTTTCGATCTAGAATCCATTATTAGTTTTTTTCTATGCCTTTCCCTCCCATTTTCTTTATACTTATATGGCAGTTTGGCAGGGTTGTGGTAGCATAATGACATCCCAAGTATCTCTATGCCCTAATCTCTGAAACCTGTGAATATGTTATCTTACATAAAAAAAGGAACTTTGCAGATGTGATTAAGGCTGTGGACCTTGAGATGGGAAAGTTATCCCAGGTTACCCAGGTGGGCCCAATCTAATCAAATGAGTCCTTAAAAGCTGAGAACCTTTCCTGGCTATGGTCAGAGGACGTATATATGAAAGAAGGGTTAAAGAAATGCAGTATTGTTGGCTTTAAAGATGGAAAGAGAGAGCCAAGATGGCTGACTAGATACAGCCAGGAAGAGCTTCACCCACGAGAGAAACCAGGCCCTCAAGTAGATCAGCATACTCTGAACAGATGTTTGGAAAGAAGGCGTTGAGAGTGGACAGAGGGAGGACACAAATGTGGGCTAAAAAAGGAGGAAGTTGGAAACCCTGGACAGAGTGGCCCAGTGTCAGGATTCATTTCTGGCCCTGAGCAGCTCCTAGGGAAGGGGTGAATGAAGTAAGTGTGGCGTGGTCCATGGACCTCTGGGATCCTAGCTGCGGGAGACTCCACAACACCCAAAGACATCTGAGCTGTCAAGGAGAACTATCTAGAGAGTTGGCAGAGACAGAAGTCTAGCCCGTGTGGAGCCTTGATGGTTTGGTGTGGGAACGGCTGCACTGGAGCATGGCCATTGGTGCCCATTCCCCAATGTTCACTGTAATGCCCTAGGTGGCTGTAGCCTTTACTGGCTGCCAGACCTGGATAGTTCAGGGCTGTCTTGCTTGTGGGACAGGGTAAGTCTGATCTGAGTGTCCTCTATTCTCCACATCTGCCAGCCCCTCCTAGGGTTCCTGCCTTGCTGCACCTGCTTGCAGGGCAGCCTCAGCTTGCCACTGGCCACTCCTGTAGCTCTTTCATCAGCAGACCCCACCTAACCTTCAGAGTGCTTTTTCAGGTGGATCCCTGCCAATGTATACCAGCCTGCAGCCTCCCACAGCCATTGCATACCTGCATGCAGCCTTCCCCCACTGGCAAGCACCTGCCTGCAGCCTTCCCCTGCTGGTGTGCACCTGCCTACAGCCTGCTTCAGTCACTTTGGTGAAGTGACACTAGTGCTTTTGCATGCAGGGACCTACTGCAGCTCCTGCCGGTGCACATGTGTGTGCATGGACTCAATGCCACCCTCCGCCCAGAGCACTTTTGCCAGCAGCCCCCATTAGAGTGTTGTTGCCAGCAAACTGGGAATACCTCAGCCCCTCCAGTGCAGCAGGTGCTTAACCTGAAGAAGCCAGAGAGCAAAGCTGCAGGCCTGGTTCCAGCTCCCCAGGCTTACAGCACATAGCCCAGGAGTGCTGAGCTGAATCTTGGCCCCTGAAAGCATCCAGAATGAAGCCAATTGACTAAATCCAACTTATACCACAGTCAAACCCTCAAGGGCATCAAAGAACATAAAAGCAAAAAGCTCCATCCAAAAGACAGAAACTTCAAAGATTAAAGGAACATCAGCCCACACAGATGAGACGGAACCAGTGCAAGAACTCTGATAACTCTAAAAAGCAGAGTGTTTTCTTTACTCCAAATGACTGCACTAGTTCCCCAGCAATTGCTCTTAACCAGACTAAAATGGCTGAAATGATAGACATAGAGTTCATAATCTGGATGGCAAGGAAGCTCATCAACATGCAGAAGAAGGTTGAAACCCAATCCAAGGACCACAGTAAAATGGCCTAACAACTGAAAGATTACATAGCCATTTTGAAAAAGAACCAAATTAAACTTCTGGAAATTGAATAAAATCTCCAAGAAATATGGGATTATGTAAAGAAACCAAACTTATGACTCATTGGCACTCCTGAAAGAGATGGAGAGAAAGCAAGCAATGTGGAAAACGTATTTTAGAATATTGTCCACAAAAACTTCCTCAGTCTCACCACAGAGGTTGGCATGCAAATCATAAAATTCAGGGAACCCCTGCCAGATACTACACAAGATGACTCATCCCTAAGACACATAATCATCAGATTCTCCAAAGTCAACATGAAATAAAAAAATCTTAAAGGCAGCTAAAGAGAAGGGGTAGGTAATATAAAAAGGGAACAGTGTCAAGTTAACAGCAAACTTTTCAGCAGAAACCTTACAAACCAGAATAGTTTGGGGCCTACATTCCACCCACCCAGGGTAGAAGTTCCACCCAGGAATTACATGTCTGGCCAAACTAAGCTTCATAAGTGAAAGAGAAATGGAATCCTTTTTCAGACCAGCAAATACTAAGGAATTCATTACCATGGGAGAGCTGCCTTATGAAAGGTCCTTAAGGGAGTGCTAAACATGGAAATGAAAGACCAATATCTGCCACCACAAAAATATACTTAAGTACATAGCCCACTGACATTATAAAGCAACTATACAATCAAATCTACATAAAAACTAGCTATTAATAAGAACACAATGACAGGATCAAATCCTAACATGTCAATATTAACTTTGAATGTAAGTGGGCTAAGTGCTTCACTTAAAAGACACAGTGGCAAGTTGGATAAAGAAGCAAGACCCAACTGTATACTGTCTTCAAGAGTCATGTCTCATATGCAATGACACCCATAGGCTCAAAGTGAAGAGATGGAGAAAGATCTATCAAGCAAACAGAAAAGAAAAAAAAAGCAAGCGTTGCTATTCTTATTTTAGGCAAAACAGACTTGAAACCAACAATGATCAAAAAGGACAAAGAAGGGCATTATGTATTGATAAAGGGTTCAATTAAACAAGAAGACTTAACAATCCTAAATGTATATGCACCCAACACTGAAGCACCCAGATTCATAAAACAAATTTCTGTAGACCTTGAAGAGACACATAACCACACAATAATAGTGGAAATTTCAACACAAATTGACAGTGTTGGACAAATCATTAGGACAGAAAACTTACAAAGATATTCAGTACCGAAATTTGATATTTGACCAAATGACCCTGAGAGACATCTACAAAATACTCCACCCAACAAGAGAATTTATATATATTTTTTCATCTGCACACAGCACATACTCCAAGGTTGACCACATGCTCTGCTATAAAGCAATTCTCAACAAATTCAAAAAAACCAAAATCATACTAATCACACTCTCAGACCACAATGCAATAAAAGTAAAAATTTATGCCAAGAAGTTCTCTCAAAAACCATACAATTACATGGAAATTTAACAACCTGTTCTTGAATGATTTTGGGTAAAGAATGAAATTAGGGCAAAAATAAAAAAAATTCTTTGAAACTCATGAAAACAAAGATAAATATACCAGAACCTCCAGGACACAGCTAAAGCAGTGTTAAGATAAAAGTTTATAGTGCTAAAAGCCTACATCAAGAAGTTAGAAAGGTCTCAAATTAATGATCTAACAGCACATCTAGAGGTACTTGAAAAATAAGAGCAAACCAACCCCAAAGGTAGCAGAAAAGAAATAACCAAAATCAAAGCTGAACTGAACGAAGTTGAGATGCAAAGATTCATGGAAAAAGTCAATGAAACCAAAAATTTGTTCTTTGAAAGAATTAATAAGATTTATAGACTCTTGGCTAGATTAACAAAAAAAGAGAGAGAGAATCCAAATAAACATAATCAGAAATGACAAAGGGAGCATTACCACAAATCCTACAGAAATACAAAAAACCCTCAGAGACTATTATGAACACCTCCATGCACACAAACCAGGAAACCTAAAATAAATGAATAAATTCCTGGAAACACAACCTTCCAAGATTGAACCAGGAAGAAATTGAAATCCTGAACAGACCAATAACAAGTTCTGAAGTTGAGTTAGTAATAAAAACCTTACCAACCAGAGAAATCCCTGGACCAGACATATTCACAACTGAATTTTAGCAGATATATAAAGAAGAGAGGGTGCTAGTGCTGGGGTTAAATTATTCCAAAAAATCAAGGAGGAGGGACTCCTCCTTAACTAATTCTATGAGGCCAACATCATTCCAATACCAAACCTGGCAGAGACACATGAAAAAGGAAAATTTCAGGCCAATATCCCTGGTGAACATAGATGCAATATCCTCAACAAAATAATATCAAATTGAACCTAGCAGCACACATTAAAAAGCTAATTCACATGCAAATCAAAGCCACAATGAGATACCATCGCATGCCAGTCAGAACAGCGATTAGTAAAAAGTCAGGAAACAATAGACGCTGGCCAGGCTATGGAGAAATAGGAATGCTTTTACACTGTTGGTGGGAATGTAAATTACTTCGACCATTGTGGAAGACAGTATGGTAATTCCTCAAGGATCTAGAACCAGAAATACCATTTGACCCAGCAATCCCATTACTGGGTATATACCCAAAGGAATATAAATCATTCTACTGCAAAAACACATGCACACGTATGTTTATTGCAGTACTATTTACAATAGGAAAGACATGGAACCAACCCAAATGCCCATCAATGATAGACTGGATAAAGAAAACATGGTACATATACCACATGGAAAACTATGCAGCTATGAAAAGAAAAAGTCAGGAAACAATAGATCATATCCTTTGCAGGGACATAGATGAAACTGGAAGCCATCATCTTCACCAAACTAACACAGGAACAGAAAACCAAACACCTCCTGTTCTAACTCATAATTGGGAGTTGAAGATTGAGAACACATGGACATGGAGAGGGGAACAACATACACCAGGGCCTGTTGTAGGGTCGGGGGTGAGGGGAGGGAACTTAGAGGACAGGTCAATAGGTGCAGCAAACCACCATGACACATGTATACCTATGAAACAAACCTGCATGTGCTGAAAAAGAAAAAGGAAGAAAGAAAGAAAGAAGGAAGGAAGGAAGGAAACAAATCAAGTAAGCCAATATATAAAAAAAAAAAGATACTTGGCCTGAGGGATCACATGATCCATGTCTCTAGTGATGTGGCACCCAATATGTCAATCAATATGATTTAGATCGGGATGGTAAGTTGGCAGCATGTTTGAAATTTCATAAAGATTGTTCTGCTTGCCTTAATTTTATGATGTCAATGACTTAAATTTCATAAAATGTTTATTAAGCAAGTGACTGGCTTTTTAGGTCTTCTGTTATCAAGGCTTAGAAGTGGACATGGCTGAGATCTAGAATGTAGCTATGAGGCAAATCGAAAGTAAAGCATTATGTCCCACACTGTGAATTTGTAGGAATTACTGTAATAATTTTTTTCTAATTGTTTCTGACTATGTCCATCTGTAACCTGGTTATTTATTAACAAATTTTTGGATATGTTCAATTTTTTAAGAATCACCCGAACTTCATACTGAGTGGTATTTTTCTTTATGCTTTGGAATCAGCACCAAGTATGTTAATGAATTATTTTTTCACCCATTAAGTCCTTTTTTTGTAACATACATTATTAAACAATACTCTTAAAGTAGAAAAAAAAGCTAATTCACTATGATCAAATAGTCTTTATTTCTATGACTTAAGCTTAGTTCAGCATATGCAAATCAATACATGTGATTCATCACATAAGCAGAAATAAAAACAAAAGTCACACGATCATCTCAATAGATGCAGAAAGGGCTTTAGATAAAATTCAACACCCTTCATGTTAAATACCCTCAACAAACTAGTCATTGAAGGGACATGACTCAAAATGATAAGAGCCATCTCTGACAAACCTACAGCCAGCAACATACTGAACGAGCAGAAGCTGGAATCATTCCACCTGAAAACCAGAACAAGACAAGAATGCCCATTGTCACCATTCCTATTCAACATCGTACTGGAAGCCCTAAACAGAGCCATCAGGCAAGAAAAAGAAATAAAAGGCATTCAAATAGGAAGAGTGGAAGTCAAACGATCTCTCTTTGCAGATGATATCAGTCTATATGTAGAAAACGTCATAGACTCTGTTCAAAGTCTCCTAGGACATAAACAACTTCAGTAAAATTTCAGGACACAGAATTAATGTACAAAAATCGGTAGCATTTCTGTATACCAACAATGTCCAACCTGCAAGCCAAATCTAAAACACAATCTCATTCACAAAAGCCACAAAAAGAAAAAAAATACCCAGGAATACAGCTAACCAGGGATATGAAAGATCTCTACAATGATAACTACAAAACACTGCTGAAGGAACTCAGGGACTACACAAATAAATGAAACAATATTCCATGCTTATGGATAGCAAGAATCAATATTGTTAAAATGGCCATACTACCCAAAGCAATTTATAGATTTAATACTATTCCTATCAAACTGCCAATGTTATTTTTCACAGAATTAGAAGAAAATGATTCTATAATTCATTTGGAAACAAACAAACAAAATCCTAAATAGCCAAAGCAATCCTAAATTAAAAGAACAAAGCCAGAGGCATCACACTACCTGACTTCAAATTATACTACAAGACTACAGTAACCAAAACAGCAGATATTGGTACAAAAACAGACATATAGACCAATGGAGCAGGTTAGAGAACCAAGAGATAAAGCCACACTCCTAAAACCATCTGATCTTTGACAAAGTTGACAATAGGGAAAGGACTCTCTCTCTATTCAATAAACAGTACTGGGAAAACTGGCTAGCCATGTACAGAAGATTGAAACTGATTCCCTTTCTTTCACCATATACAAAAATCAACTCAAGAGGAATTAAAAATTTAAATATAAGACCTGAAACTATAAAAACTTTGGAAGACAATCTAGCACATACCATTGTGGACATAGGTCTTGGCAAATATTTCATGACAAATTCTCCAAAAGCAATTGCAATGAAAACAAAAGTAGACAAGTGGGACCTAATTAAACTAAAGAGCTTCTGCACAGCAAAGGAAATTTTCAACAAAGTAAATAGACAACCTACAGTAGGGAAGAATATATTTGCAAATTATGAATGCGACAAAGATCTAATATCCAGAAACAATAAGAAATCTATAAGGAACTTAAATTTATAAGCAAAAAACAAACAACCCTATTAAAAAGTGAGTAACTGGCATGAAGAGATACTTCTCAAAAGAAGACATACAAGTGGCTAACAAGCATACGAAAAAATGCTTGACCTGCAGAATGGCTATTATTTAAAAAGTCAGGAAATAACAGACATTCAGATGATTGCGAGGTTACAGAGCAAAGGGAATACTTATACTCTGCTGGTGGGAATGTAAATTAGTTCTGCCGCTGTGGAAAGTAGTTTTGAGATTTCTCAAAGAACTTAAAACAGAACTACCACTTGACCCAGCAATTCCATTACTGGATATATGCTCAAAGGAATGTAAATCATTCTACCAAAAGGCACATGCACTTGTATGTTCATCACAACACTATTCACAATAGTGAAGATATAGAATCAGCCTAGATGCTGAACAGTGGACTGAATAAAGAAATGTGGTACATATACACCATGGAATACTACACAGCCACGAAAGAATGAAATAATGTCCTTTGCAGCAATATGAATGCAGCTGGAGGCCATTATCCTAAGTGACTTATCACAGAAACAGAAAACCAAATACCACATGCTCTCACTTATAAGTGGGAGCTAAACGTTGATTGCATGTGGACACAAACGGGAACAACAGACACTGGAGTCTACCTGAAGGTGGAGGGTGAGAGGAGGGTGAGGGTCAAAAAATACCTATCAGATACTATGCTCACTCCCTGGGTGAAGAAATCATTTGCATATCAAACCCCAGTGACATGCAACTTACCCATGTAACAAATCTGCACATGTACCCAACTGAACCAAAAATAAAAGTAAAAAAAAAAAAGAGAGAGAGAAAACCAAATATGGCATGTTCTCACTTATAAGTAGGAGCCAAATCTTAGAATCTTGGGTACATGGTTGGGGACAGGTGGTAGGGACTCCGAAAGGAAGGAGGGAGGAGTACAAGGCCTGAAAAACTTCCTACTGGGTGCTATGTTTGCAGTCTGGGTGACGGGATCAGTAGAAGACCAAACCTAGCATCATATAATATCCCCTTGTAACAAACATGCACGTGTACCCCACCCCAAATCTAAAATAAAATTGAAATTTAAAAAATAGAGATGGAGGAAGGGGGTCAGAGCCAAAAATTTCAAGATAATACATTTGTGTTATTTGAAACCACAAAGTTTGTGGTAATTTGTTAAGGCAGCAATAGAAAACTAATATAAAAAGTCTATAGAGTATATCCTTGTTTTTTGGCACTTACTGTTGCTTCTAAGAAATTTACTGTCAGTCTGATTTTGTTTAGCATTTTTATGTGTTTGGAGCATGGTTGATTTGGGGTGTGTTTCATCTCAGTCACTGATATGAATACCTTGGTATTAAATGTATCTTTGTTATCAATTTCTTGGTAACAGTATATTTTTTTTCATTGTGATTATAGAACATCGTTTTCACAAATTTTACTTTAAAAATGTTAAGGGTTGTCTATGGTCTAAAATATGATGAAATAATTTTATAGCTAATTCATGAAACATAATAAATAACATGTAATCTCTATAATTTATGATATGCTGTATAAAGTTTAACATATCTTAAAACTTATATTGTTTAAATTATCTTTATCAATTTGTATAGCCTACCTGATCTCTCAAACCTATGAGATGATCAATTCTTTCATTATTATTATGTAATTTTTAAGTTTCTGTGTGTATATATAAATAGCTTTTATATTGTTTGATGGCATTATTCATCAAGTAAGGGTTGGCTGTTTTATCTTGAGTATGTTTTTGCAGTTTATTATTTTCTGCTTTTATCTTCATTAATTCTTTTTACTGCCTACTTTTTGATTTCCTTTGATGTATGTTTTCTAGTTTTACAGTTGGCTGTTTCCTTAATCTTTAAATGTTTTCTATTTAATAATTGAAGTACATATTCCTATGAATTTTTCTCTGAAGTGGCTTTGCCTTTATCTCACAGTTTATATGTTCAAATTTTCACTGAATTCTAAAGAGTCTATACTTTCAGCTAATTTTTTAGAAGAATTTTTTTCCTATTTTTATGAGACTAGATTTATAATTTTATATTTAGTTTTTTGTTCTTTGCACTGTAATAAGAGAATATGGCCTGTCTGCCTTTTTGAATTTAGTGGGATTTTGCTATACATCTTACTACGTAGACAATTTATAAAAAAATCCCATATATACTTTAAAAGTGTGAGTATTTTATGTTAGTTTGTTTTAGAATTACCAATATTTTAATCTGTTGGACTTTTGTGATCAATTAAATCTTGTTTAATTGTCAAGTTCACACTTGATCTGACAATTTTGGAAAGAAAGATATTATAAAATATTTCTTTATGATTAAAGCTTTATCAGTTTTTCTTTCGATCCATTTTCTTCACAGCAGAAACAATAGCTTTAAATAAATATAAAAACCTTATATGGCTTTCCATTTTGCTTAGAATAAAATATTAACTTGTTTCTGTTATCTTTCCCAGCATTCTTTAATCTGCAACAAACACTAAGCTAACTTCTTCCTCAGAGCCTTTGCACATGTCACTCTCATTTTCTGGAACATGTCTACCTCCTCACCTTCCACCTTACAGTTTGTTTTTGGCATCTGGCTTCTCTACCTCCTTCTCATCTTACAGTTTCAGGTGTTTAAGTGTTTCTCCCTCATATAAGCCCTCATAGAACTAAAATGGGCTCTTTCTTAAAGAAGAACAATTTTCAACTAATTTTTTTTTCTCCACTAGATATTGGCCTCAGCTGCTTTGAACGCAGAGGTTCCTCTGAGACTTTTGGGGATATATATATATATCTTTCAAGAAGTGAAAACCTCTCAGGAAGTTGTCCTTTCTTTATCGTTAAATTTTAGCTCTTGAAAATGATGTGCTTCTTTGCAATTTTAATCATAGTTTCATCATATCTTCCACAAAATCCTAAAATTTACTGCTGCTTTGATGGCCCACTTCATAGTTTGACAGTGCTGCTAGATAATTATTATTTTGTAGCTCTTTTCCTTTCATCTTATTGAGAGGTAAGGCGGCAAGAGAGGTAAATATATAAAAAGAATTCGTTATATAGAAATTCAGATTTTAAAGTGAAAAAATCCAAAGGCATGGGTATTGAATGACATGTTGGCAAATGCTTTTTAGACTATTTTGAGTAAACATATTTAAATTTGATACACTTATGTATTATAATCTGTTTCTTATTAGTCAACACTCTTGTTTAGTTGGAATAAATTTACTTGTTAATAAGAGATCATACTTTTTATATATTTTGTACTTGCATTTGCTTGGCCCTTAAAAATAGGAAAATATGTTCAAATTTATCCGTAAGAGAAACGCCAATTAAAATTACACTGAGTTATTACTTCTCCCCTATCAGGTTGGCAAAAATCCAAAAGTTTGACAACTGTTGGCAAGGCTGTGAGGAAATAGGCACTCTTATATATTGCTGGTGATAATACAAAATGGTACAATCCCTATGGAAGAAAATTTGGCAATGTCTAACAAAACTCATAAGCATTTACACTTTGACCCAGAAAACTAATTACTAGGAATCTATTCCAAAGATATTCAGGAAAAATATGAAAAGGCATGTTCACAAGACTACTCACTAGAGAACCATTTATAACAGCAAAGACTAGAAAGAACCCAAATGCTCATCAATGGAAGATTGATTGAACTATTGTACACAATGGAAATATGTAGCTGTAAAAAGAAACGAGGAATATTTTTATACATACATATGGAATAATTCTTAGTATAGGTTTTTAAGTGAAAAGGAAAAGCATGTTGTAGACAACAATGAATGATTATCTATAGGGCCAAAAGAAGAAATAAAGAACATAAATATTTAAGATAAACAAATTTATATGTTTCGTTTCTTTATAGATTTGACTTTTTAATCATGGATGCGTTTTACATAAATATTAAAAATTAAGACAAAGAATACAAACAGTTAAAAACAAAATTAAAATGAGACAAATGAATCTATTCTGTATTGAATTCATGGCGTAATCTCCCAGAAACTAATCACTCCAAGAGATTTTAAAATATAGTAAACTGGCTAAACTTTCTTAATGGGTTATATGCTAAAGACCAAAATAATGCAGAAAAAAATAAACTGTTTCTGGTAATCTACTGTTAGTGGTATTATCGTGTAACTGTTGCATGTGTATAGTAAGATAAAGCAAATAAACACATTAATGTTATTAGGAATTAAAACTTTTGGTAAGAGAGGTGTAGATTTTTAAAAATTAAGGAAGTTGAGTCTGAAATTATACATTGGAGTTAGAAATATCAATATTATGTCATAATATATTTTCTGATGAAACAAACAAACAAACAAAAAACATGTTTCATAGATTTATCTACTGAAAAGCCTAGAAACAATGCCAAACTTGATAGTAATGAACACCCACAATTGCCATATTGTGGCCTCTAAGTACCATTTCCCAGTAAAACAAACCAAGGTCTGAGGCAGAAAATATGCATGATAAACTGGAATACTGTGTCAAGCCATAAAGCAAGGATGCTGTAAAAAACTACAGTGGTCAACAGGTCCCCAGAGCCAACCTGAAGAAGCTCTTATTGGCCAAAGACAATTCAATGTAATTAGGTACAGTAATTAGGTTAACTGTAATGAGTTGGATACATGAAATATGTTTAAATACATGAATACATAATAATAATTTTTAAAAATCTTACCAATTACCTTTGAGATTGCTAAGGAATGAGTTGAAGCATTTTTGTTTTTACCTTTCCTATGTAAAGCAGACTTTCCTGTATTTTTTATTTTATTAAATTGCCTTCTTTTTATGTAAGTATTCCAACTAATAAGTGAAAAAATAATATAATATCATAAATTTTCAACCCTAAATGAAATAAATGGATATAGGCATTAATTATAAATGGATACTATCATCACAAAAATAGATATAAGCAGGAATTGTGAGCCTCCCAGAGGAATATTTTACCTACAAAGTACTCTTTCAAAATAAATAAATAAATACATAAATAGATAAATAAAATTAAGACTGTGTGGAAAAAAGTTAGCAGTCCTGAGACATCTTATCCTTAGAGAAAGCCCTGCTTGCAAGATGGGTTGATCCTTGACTGGTGTCTGGAAGCTGAATTTCAAGGGAGTTACCATCATTACCTACTAAGAATACTTACTGTACTTAAACTGTTTAAACAAGCAATGTGGTTTATGGTGAACCCTGCTTTCTTTATGGAAGTCTTGAATTGTATATACCAGGCAGAGGGTGCCTCCATGACAATCCTCAATGGTATACAACATTTTACATGTGCTGTCATTTACTGCTAAGTGAGTACTATGTTATCCCACTAGGAGAGGGCTCTTGCAAGTTTGCACCTGATTTCCTCTGGATTTTGTCCCACATACCTTTTCCCTTTGCTGATTTTTCTTTGTATTATTTCTCTGTAATAAATGATGGCCATGAGTATGGCTATATGTTGAGTCCTGTGAGTTCTAGTGAATTATTGAAACTGGGCACCCCAATGCTAAGACTGTCTACCTTACCACCAGTTTATAAGAAATACATGGAATAGAGCAACATGTAAATAATACTACAGAGATGCAACCAGCAGAGTCCAGAGTGTGAAAAGCTCTATAGTCTCTTTAACAAATAAATAGCAAGAAAAACAAAAAAGGAAAAAAAATCCTATCAATTAAGAGTCTTATGAAATATTTAAAGATAAAATGTAACAATGTCTGAGACTGGTTTTAATGTAATCTAGCAATGGTAGTAGAAGGGAGAAGAGAGTAGAATTATAGAGGAAACAAGATTGGTCATGAGTTGACATTTGTTAAAATTTAGTAATGGGTTTACATAGATTTATTTTGCTTTATAATAAATTTTAATGATATTATTATGTAAGACAATTGTAATTAAAGTTGAATTTAATTTTAAATTAAAGTTTGAAATTATATTTGCTAATGTTTTAAAGTACTCTTGCATATATGTTTATGTGAGGTTTTCTCCAATATCCTTTTATCATTGACTGCTTTCAAAATTAATGTTTTCTTTATATTTTCTCTATGCTAGATTTTTGTTTTCTTTGTATTTTCTCTATGTGCTAAGAAAAATATATATTAAAAGAAGGATCTGTTTCATGAAGATAAAAAAAATCCACAAAGAATTCAAGCCAAGATCTTTTTAAATAGACAATTCTTTTACATTTGTTTTTATTTTTAATTTCTGATTTACCTTGTTACTTCTTTGTTACTATGTAATAATGGCTTATATTTTTACAGAAAATGTCCATTTCAGAAAATTCTGACTTGGGGAAAACATACAATAGTCTCATATAATGAACTTTTTTTAGTGGAATGTGAATATATATGTGTATATATATGTAAATATAAATATTAATAATGTTATATTATTTATGATTTAAAATATATGATTATATGTTTACATCATAAATATTACATTATAAAAGATATACATTCTGTGTATATAAATATAAATATATATATACATTTTATATGCCCTTTGTCATTTGTAATACTCCATCTTCCCTCCCATACTCAAACCTAAGATTCTGGACCTTAGCTACAAAGGGTAGAATATAGCATTATATGAAAAAAATAGGTTACGGGGGGGAAACTGAAACTGAAACACGTCCATACCAAGGGGTCAATGGAATTCTTTTATAGCGAAGCTGAAAGACCTCGGCATATGGACAGAAAACATGTTTGAAGCTATAAGGTGGACAATGGGGCTACCAAATCAAAGCAAGGGTGCTCCAAAGGCAGAATAAGAGGAGAGATTTCTTAAGCTGCTTAAGCATAGCCTCAGCTGACCGCAATACAAGAAATCAGCTCAAGGCTTTTGTTTCTGCGATTTCCTCAGTTTTTCTGTTTTAGATTTCATTTATTTTTGATTTGATATTTAGTATTTCCTTTCTGTTCATTTCCTTAGAACTTCTTGAAGTATTGTTTCTAAATTCTTGAAATAAAGTTTAATTCATTTAATTTTTGATTCTCTTTGTTTAATAAAAGTTGTATATAAGATGTGAATTTACTTTTGATGCAGCTTTAGTTTTACTCCAAAAACTTAGATATATAAATATTCCTAATTTTATTATTCTTCTAAATTGTTATTTTTTTAAATTAAAAGTGTAAATAAAAAATAACTAAATTTATAATGTATTTTCTCCTTGATCTGCAGTTAGGCAAATGCATTTAAATTTTTCAGTGTTTGATTTCCAAAACCATTTTTAAACATATTTATTTTCTTGCAATTCAAAAAAAAACTTGATTTCTTCAAATGGAAGATGAAAATTGTATATGTTGCTTTGTCTACTTTATTAGTTCCCAATACATTATCCATCCCATCTTTGTCATCTTCATCTTTGTCATGTTGATCCCCTCTTTTTCTTTTTAACAAGTATTGCTTTATAATTTTTGTCTCTTATGTTTTCTTTTTAGGTCCATTTATCACAATTATTTAGGCTAGCATTTCCCCATCTGTGACTGCCCCCAAACACTCTATTTTATAATACATTAATAAGTGTTTTGAAAAAAGAAAATCTTTAATGGTAAGGGAAACCTGGCAATGAGGCTTGCCTGAGGTAAGCACAATTATATTGACATCTTTATTTTAAGAGAGATTTTAAAGAGAGATTAATATAATCATAAATATTGTGGCTTGTCTTCAGGAAGTTGCATTATGCAAACTTTCTCAAAATTGTTTGACTATGGAGTCAATTTGTCCTAGAATATTTTTTAACATTCCATGAATTTGATGTTTTCGTAACAGAACAACATTGCTTTGGGCTTATCTCTAGATTTTTAACTAATATCAATACTCACTGCCAGTCAAATCTCCAATTTCTTTCTCATTATTCAGTTTTTAGTTTTGATTTATCTCGTGGTAACATGGAGCAAATTTTTATTTTTCCGTGTGTGAAAAAGTACGAAATGGTATATTCTCTGATAACATCGATAATCTTAAAATGGCATTCACGTAATAACAACAGCTTGCTTGGGTATAAAAATCCTTGAGTCATAACTGTTTTCTTTCAAGGTACTACAAATGTTTATTTTCTTCTAGCATTCTGAGACCAATTTAGTTGTTGTTCCTCTGATATGAGTCTAGCCTTACACTAAAGAATCAAGCATTTCATTAGAATATGTTTTGATAAGTATCTATTTTTTTCCTAAGTCATAGTGAGCCTCCTCCATGTCTAGGTTAAACATTTTCTTGGATGAGAGAGATGCTTTTTTCTGCACCTTGATTACTTAACTTTGGATTTCCTCTTATTCTTATTATTTATAGTTCATATGTTTATTCTTTTTCCGTAGTTTTCTTTCTTTCGTGATTTACATTACTTTATCTTTTTCTTCAGCATACTAAAGGTAATTTTTTTATGTTTGTTCTACACACTGATAATTTAATTTTTTTGCAGTTTCAGGTTGGCTTTTCTGGTGCTTCTGAGATTTAGCTACCGCAGTTTTATTTTGGGGCAATTGCTTCCTATAATATTTTTTCTCTTCTTGTTTTAATCTTTGTTTATTATTTAATTTTATCTCATGTATAACTTATCTCAGTATGGCAGGCCCTACTTGTATAGAGATAATGTTCTTTTACATACTGGGACACTTTTCCCCTTCTTTTTTGTTAATTCTAAGTTTTGTATTTGTTGTTTTCTGGCTCAGCCTTGAATGAAGAAACGTCTTGCTCCCTGTGGTGAAACAATCAGAATATGTAGATTTTTTTCTAATTCCCTTTTAATTTATTCCTGGTCAAATTCTTAGTCCTGATCCTTCAAATATTTTTATTTGTTTAATGAAAAGCTGATTAAGGAGCAGAAAATAACTATACAAATCATCTATCCCACGTCTCCTTCTTATATAGATAAGTTCTTAAGGTCCAGGAAGGATAATTGCTTAAGTGCTCTAACCTTAGCATTGGTAGAGTAAAACACTAGAACGTAGGTCAGTTACCTTTGTATTGTATCAACTGCCTCACGCAAGATTTTTGTTTTCTTATATTTTTATTTTCTTGATTTATTGAAAAGCTTTAGAAGCTGAGATTGAGAAAGAAAAATAGCTTTTTCCCCCCAAGTGTGATTAAATTAGTACTGAATGTTAAAAACCACCCATGGAAATTGTTGGCTTAACCTTCTGATGTGTTAAAAAAAAAACCACACAAACTACATGAGATTATCTATCTTATTATTATTATTATTATACTTTAAGTTCTGGGGTACATGTGCAGAATGTGCATGTTTGTTACATAGGTATACATGTACCATGGTGGTTTGCTGCACCCATCAACCCGTCATCTACATTAGGTATTTCTCCTAATGCTATCCCTCCCCTAGCCCCGCACCCGCCGACAGGCCCCAGTGTGTGATGTTCCCCTCTCTGTGTCCATGTGTTCTCATTGTTTAACTCCCGCTTAGGAGTGAGAACATGCGGTGTTTGGTTTTCTGTTCTTGCGTTAGTTTGATAATACATTTATATCAGTGAACAAATTGAGGATATAACTTAATTATCTAGGATGAATATGTAAAAATTTCCACATATTTTCTCTGAATTCCAAATATAGACACTTAAATAATTCCTCTCAAACCGAACGTTTCTACTAGACTCTCTCCTGCTGATCACATGCTGATCCTTCTCTCTAGACCTTCACTACTGTCTGGTTCACTACTAACCATTCTACTGGGATAAGTAAAAGGTTCGTGAATGAATCTTTTGGGTCACTTTTTATTAGTCAATATACATTGAATATTTCCATAGTTTCTTGGAAGATTTTTGTCCCTAAAAAACTTCCATAAACTAGTAACTCTCTTAAAAATAATTCTAGAGGATTCATAACTGTTATTCTTATTTTAATATTTTGTATCTGTTTTTACTTTAAGTTTCCAGAATTATTCAACCTTCATTTATTTGCCTTATTTTTTTTCTGAAAAGCGTTTGTACATATATTTAATACTTTCTGTAATTATTTGATTAGATAATGGAGTAAGCAACTTCTAAAATTCCTTGTGAGTTGTCGCCATGGAAGAACCATAGATAAAAATATTCTTTATAGGATAAAATTTTTATTTTGGAACTGGACATATGCTAAGTGAACCAAACTGGAAGGCAGTCCTTAGGGGTTGTAAACTCAAAAACAAAAACATAACAGCTTATTACCTATATACTTACTTCCCTTTTACCTGTCTCATGATACTGAACAAATTATGTAGCTGGTCATGTAGGGAAGCTAAGTTGGTCAAAGTGACCACAGTGTGACTACTAGCTTGTTTGCTGCTTGCCCTTGATCCTGTATTCCTCAGCTGCAACCCAACCCACTGTGCGCAAATCATCCATTTGGCTCATCATAATGCCCATGGGCCTTGGGAGGCAAGGGGAACATGTACAAGGCAGTACAATGATGACACATTTTCTGTTTGCTGAGTGTGAGTAATAAACTGTCTTGCTCTGCTGTAGTAAGTCTTGTTGCCTACTTCTGGCATCTATGGAGTAGTAGCAGGTTCACTCCTTGCCATCCTCTGTGAGGCTGGAGTTGTTCCCTGTTTAAGATGTTAAAGCTTCTGAATGTATGTCTGTTATTTTAACTTGAGATAACTTGAAAATACTTAAAAAGGAGTGAAAGATTGCAGGCCTTGGTGAGGTGTAAAGGATTGTATAACAATAATACATATATGTAAATGTACTTTTCATCAAGGAAATTAATGAATCCATTCATATATGCTATATAAGGGTATGACCAATGAAGTCTGGCTGGTCACAATGCTGACAGGGCCTCTATATTGGATCACCTCAGTTCGGGGTCTGGACTCAGCCTCGGAATCTCATGAAATGGATGTTGTCATAAGCTGAACGTGAGGTAGCCTCTCATGGATGAAGTTAGTCTAATAAAGGTCATGTCTAAATCAGAAATACAGTTTATTAATTTTTAATGAGAGATACCCTTTCTAGATAAAATAATGGAAGTATTCACTAAGTAGGGAAAGCTCCCTCCCCCTTATCAAGAAACCTGAGAAGCAAATTCATAATCAAAAGACTGCTTTGTATGATCAGAATCAGAGTTGAGACTGATGGTAATAAGTGAGGCTTGATGAAGCAGCCTTGTCTTACTTCTCCAGTGCTGCAGTTACTCTGGTTCCTATACATTATTGACTGGCACATTGCCAACTTTCAAATTTCTGGTTCCCATTCTACACTTCTACTGCCTTCTATTCCTGTTTACCTGATACATTGTTTTTCTTGAATGTGTTATTATAACAGATTTAGCTATTTTCCCATGAAACTATTTTTTGAAAGAGCCTGAACAGAAAAATATCTCCAGGACTCACCCTTAGCTGTGGAGGTCTTCCGGCTTTTTAAGATGACTTTGTAAATACCCAATCTAATATTTGTTTGTTTATTTCATTGTATGATGATGATCAGTTTTCAAGGTATCCTAATGTTAAATAATACAGTATATACCTATTATTGAGTGTGTGCATTATGCACCAACTTAATGTTAGGTGCATCTGTTTACAATCACATATAAATGATCCAAAGTTTATTTATGTATTCAACAAATATGTATTTTGCATCTACTATGTGATTAATGCTTTTGTAAGTGCTGGTGATATAGTGATTAGACAGTCAAGCTTTTACCTTCATGTAACACCTCACATTATAGTGACAGTTTTTTTTTTTTTTTTTTTTTTTTTTTTTGAGATGGATTCTCATTCTGTCACCCAGGCTGGAGTGCAGTGGTGCAATATTGACTCACTGCAACCTTCACCTCTCAGGTGATCCTTCTGCCTCAGCCTCTCAAGTAGCTGGGCCTACAGGTGCGTGCCACCACAACAGGCTAATTTTTGTATTTTTAGTAGAGACTGGGTTTCACCATATTGGCCAGGCTGGTCTCCCAACTCCTGACCTCAGGTGATCCGCCCACCTTGGCCTCCCACAGTGCTGGGATTTACAGGTGTGAGCCACCGCGCCTGGCCTATAGTGACAGTTAACGAGTATGAACATACATTTGGCTCTTGAACAACACAGTTTTGCACTGCATGAGTCCATTTATACATGGATTTTTTTTCAATACAAATTGCTGTGAGTGTGCCTGCCTTTCCTGTCTCCCTTCTACCTCCTCCATCCCTTCCACCTCCACCACTCTTGAGACAGCAAGACCAACTCCTCCTCTTCCTACTCCTCTTCAGTCTACTTAACCTGAAGATGATGAGGATGAAGACCTTTATGATGATCCATGTTCGCTGAACGAATAGTAAATATATTTTCTCTACCTTTTGATTTTCTTAATAATATTTTTCTTTTCTCTAGCTTACTTTATTATAAGAATACAGTTTATAATACATATAACATATGAAATCTATTTTAGTTGACTGCTTATGTTATCAGTTACGCTTCCAGTCAACAGTAAGCTATTAGTTTCTAAGTTTTGGGGGAGTCAAAAGGTATATGTGGATTTTCAGCTGTGTTGGGGGAGAGGGGAAGGGGCTAGCTCCCTAACCCTCATCTTTGTTTGAGGCTCAATCATATATTTATAGCATAATTTCAGATAGTAGTAAGCTTAGGAAGAAAAATGAAGCCAAGTAAAAACTGAAGAAAGATAGAGGCGGCTATTTTAGATGGTAACATGACAGTTTAAATGGTTCCTGGAGCACTAAAGACTATACTGGGAATGTCATTAAACAAACAGGTGTATTTGCAAATCCTCTTATATCCAATTTGATCATAAAAACATTGCAATAACTGTAATGTAAATATGCAACATCAGTCAACAAATCTTGTATTCACTTATCTTTGTGATGCAGACATTACTATTGATTGGTTATAAAAAGAAACTATAAAAATGCTTATTCAAAGTCAGTCAATGTGTAAATACTTTGAAGACACTGTTACTGGGACTGATACGTGAATGTGTGATTAAATGGAGTGGATGCTATAGAAATTCAGATGATGTTCAGAAATTCTCAAACTTCAGTTAGTATATTAGTCTTTTATTCTTTCATAATCCACAAAAAGCATGCAGCATACGGTAATGTGTCAAGAATTTTTTTTAAAAATCCTATTTATGTGTATAAGTTCACATAAGATGTATCTTCCTTTGCGTATTATATAATAATGCTAAAATATGAGGTCATTTAAGGATTTGCCGAACATGGTAAAAGAAATATATTTGCAGTTTTTACATTAGGATACAATTATGCTTTGGAAAAGTACTATTGCCTAAATACATCTTGAAAATATGCTTTTGAGAGGGAATGAATAGCACACAAATTCTGATTTCTTTTAAGTCATCTTGAAAAACAGACTACAGACACATGAGCTGAGCTTTAATAAAATGCTAATTAGGAGTGCATGCTACAGTTTGAATGGTGGCTATATAAAATGTACAGAAATAACAGTAGAGGACTGGTATCTAGCTTTGGGGAACTAGCTGTGACATCTAGGTGCTACTCCTTTGATGGCATGACTCTAAAACCTCTAGTGCTGCCTGGGACTTTGAGATTATCTATTCAAATTCTCAATTTGCAGAAGAGGAAGTAAGGTTTAGCAGGGGTAAGTGACTTGTTCAAATCCCTTGGCAAGCTGGCCGTTACTGGTGAGTTGGTGCCACGCTTTTTGTCCCATGCTGCCTCTTATCCCTCATCCCCTCCCAAATCGATTTTCCACCATTTTGTTGAACTTCACAGCACAAAGGCTTAGAAATAAAGTGCAATTTATAGGTGTAAATTATCCTCTTGTTTGCTAGCTCCTCCAGTGAAATACTTTGAAGAAGAAAAGGATGACAGTAAAATGAAAAATTAGGTTTAGGAATTTTATTTATCCATCTTTTTCTTACATTTCTGCCATAAGAAATTTTAAAAATTCATAAACTTGAATAAGATGATATCAGACATAGAGACCGGAAATACTGCATGTTCTCATTTATAGATTGGAGCTAAACACTGAGTACACATGGACTCGAAGAAGGAAACAAGAGACACAGGGGCCTACTTGAGGATGGAGGGAGGGAGGAGGGAGAGGATCGAAAAACTACCGATCAAATACTATGCTTATTACCTAGGTGACTAATTAATCTCTACACCAAACTTCTGTGACGTACAGTTTACCTATATAACAAACTTGCATATGTACCCCGAACCTAAAATAAGAGTTAAAAAACAAAAAAAAAGAAATAGAGGTTGGGAGGACAGGATTGGGGCAGAGTTGGTCAGAAAAAGAAGAAAAGGTAAAAAGGGGTCTGCTGGACCCTGAGGTTGATCATAGTTCCTAGCCCACGAATTGTCTCTCTGGGAGTTTATTTTTCTTTTCTGAATTTGAAAAGGAAAATATTAACCATTCTGGGTCTTCCTTTCCTTATCTGTAGGATGAAGAGGGTTGACTAATTAACCTCTGAAGTCCTTTCTAGTCTCACTAATCAAGGACTGGATATGTACTCAGCCTTTTGGAAATGTTATTGGAAGACATACAAAATACTGTTTTTGTTTGTTTGTTTGTTTGTTTTAGAGACAAGTCTCACTCTGTTGCCCAGGTTGGAGTGCAGTGGCGCAATCACGGCTTAGTATAGCCTGAACCTCTTGGGCTCAAACGATCCTCCCACTTCAGCCTCCCAAGCAGCTGGGACTACAGGCATTTGCCACCGTGCCCAGCTAATTTTTGTCTATTTTGTAGAGACAGGGTTTCACCATGTTGCCAGGCTGTGTCTCCAACTTCTGGGCTCAAGCAGTCCTCCTGTCTCAGCCTCCCAAACTGCTGGGATTAGAGGCGTGAGCCACTGCCCCCAGCCCACACATATTCTTGACTGAGCCTCTATCAGTGCTCTCTATGTACAACTGGAAAGTATTGATGTCTGTGTCCAAGTAGATATAAAGCTATCCTTGCTGGTCAGTTAATAAGTCAGTTAAATTGGAATTATAGTCAACTATTGATTAATCAGAGTAATAAGTGGGGGGGGGGGTGGGTACAGTGGGAGACAGCATAGATGACCACAAATCCTATGTGAAACAAGGCCTTGTTTTCAAGGATCAGTATAGCATGGTGGTTAGTAGCATGCAGTTAGTCTTGTGTTTAAAACCCAAATCTACATTTCCTAGCTGTGTGACTTGTCAATGCCTATAAGGGCTTACATTATATATATTTTATCTTACTATATCTGTGACTTATTGTCTTGTCTCATCATCCTGTTCTCGCTTTTTTCAATCACAAAGTTCTCTTGCTCTCCTGTGGTCAGGCCAAGCATGCTCTCATCTCAGGGAGTTTGCATAGGCTGCTTCTGCCTGGACAGCTCTTCCTCCTTCCCTGGACAGATAACTGCATGAAGCATCACTCTTCTCTTTCCGATTTTCTTCATATGTCACCTTTTTAGAGAAACCATCCTGGCTATGCTAATGATAATGATAGAAATCCAGCTCTTTGTATTCTTACCTTACTTAATGTTTCTTTATAGTTACTTCCTGAGATATTAATACATATGTATTTTTGTTTGTTTGTCTTTTGTCTATTCACATAAGGAAGTAAACTCTTTGATGACGTCCTTGTGTCTATTTTTACCATTTCCATATCACCAGGGTCTAAAACATTGCCTGGCACACAGTAACTGTTCAGTACATATTTGTTGAATAAATGCATGCTACCCAGTGGAAGAGCTGGTAACAGAAATGGTTACATGTTGCTCCTCTCGGAAGAGAGACTGGTGATAATGGAGGAGGGCAGGGCCCTTCCCATCTGTTATGTTTGTTTTTACCCTGTTACACTTGTTATAAATTATTTTGAAGAGATTATGGCTGGATCCTGGTCTAAAATATGCCACCATAGTTTGCACATCTAATCTGTATTTAATTTCATTTCTTCCGCTTTAATCTACTTTGCTTCTGATCATAAATGGAAATGAGCCAGCAGAAAGGAGATGGCATCTATCCACCCAGTATGTGTGTGGGAGTTCACTGTTCTGGAACCTGAACGCCATGAACCCTCACTCATGACCATAGATATGAACCTAGGAAAATACTTGTAAATGAATTAATTGAAATGATACACATTAAAAATGTTGCTAATGTGAATGTGAATGCAAATACAAGTAGATACAATCAATTTAAGTGAATGCACCAGACCATTCATGTGGCCACAATTTCTCAAGCCCCACTAACTTCAAATATTTTCTGTATCTTGCTAGCTTTATTTATGTCTCTTCAGCAGTTTGCCTTAGTGTGGAAGAACTGTATTAGGAGAAAAGACTGATGATGTGTTGAGCAACACTGGAGGTGAGGGTTGGAGTATAACATGTGACAAATTAACTTCTCCCTGATTGTTATCTCTGGCAGGTGTTTTGTCTTCCAACATGAAGTATGTAAAAATATATTCAGATCTGCACTCTTTTTGGTTGTATGATATTAGAGACATGACAAACAGACAACCAATTAAAGAACACCTTTACACAGGGGCACGGAAGCATTTATATCAGTGAAAAAGAGAAAAATGCCTTTGCTTTTCTCCCCCCAGCCCCCGTCACACACCTCCCCCCGCCCCACAACACACACACCTCTCTCTCACACATCTAATTCACACACACACACACCCATGCACACACATCCCAATTTCTCACCCCAGGGCTCGGATGATCAATGCTCAGTCTCAGCCTTGCTCCTGCTGAAGTCACAAGTGAGTTCTAACAAACCCCCCTCTAAGGCTACCTCCTATTGCCTGCTCTTCAGGACATGAGGAACACATCCACCGAAAACTATGTTTTCTTTGCATCCTAACTGAAACAGCATTAAAGGGGGAAATGGGAATTCAGCGCTGCCAGCTACAGTATCTCTCCTATCAGTTCACCAATAAGGCCTGGTAGGGACCTGCCGAGCCTCTGGATAAATTGTATTTTCCAAGGGTTAATTAAGCTGTCTTGAGCTTCTGCATGAAGAGGAACAAACTGGCACTTGCAGCGCTTTCTGAAACCTGCTGTCGACATTACAGTCCCTGCTGCTTTTAGCTGTATCGATCCGATGCCTGACCTGTGAAATCCTTGATGGCTGCTAACACTAGAAGCTTACTGGAGCTTTCCAAGGGAGCTTCGGGACAGCTTGTGTAGTCAGGTACAATTACCTATCCCTCCAGGAGAGCCAATTAGTTCACAAAGAGCTGGAGCAGAACAAATGTTTTGTATGTGATTTAGAATCCTAAAAAAGAAAAGGAAAAAAAGAGAAAAAAAGGCTTTGTTCTGTCTGTTTCTTTTGTTCCTAATTTTATGATTATTGTTCGATTCACAGTGGTCCTCACATTTCCTCACATGTTTCCGAAAGAATGATAAGAACATGATAAACCAGATTTACAGTCTTCTCTCTTTAAACTATGAAAATTGCCTTGTGCTATTTAAGATCCAGTTTCTGGACTAATTGTATGAACTCAAAGATAGAACACCCAAATTTGTTCTACTTTCTGCATTTCAGAAACTTTTTCTCTAAATGATACAATAAATTTTAGTCATAGTGAATCGCTCCTAAAAAATAGGATGAATGGCAACGACCCCTGCCTCTTAGTTTTGCAGGTAGAATGTAAGAATAAGAGATTCCTAGATAGTAATATGCTACACATATCCAGGCCTATATTAACATTAGCAAGATTGGTTTTTAAGTACAGCTAAACTTTACAGACTGTCAACTAATACTATGGTGGCCTTTGAATACAAGCAATGACACAACTGATCTACATCTGTATGCCCTGAGTCCAAGACTGTTTCCCCAGTAATAAATATCAGTGTTACTGAGATATTCACATTCCCTTGACCATTTTCCTTTGTGACCAATGATATTAATTTATGAGCTAGCTATAGGATGTGGTCTGTTCGTTGAATACATTAAAAAATTTTATTCTGAATACTGTCTAAATCATGCAGGGATCAATAAGTAGCCCTTAAAAACATAATGTAGCAGTAGAATTAACTGCACATGAAATTTAATGTACTCAAATATCAAATAAACATCAAAATGAGGGAAAAATAAAAATCGGTTATTATTTTTAATAATAGAAAACAACATCGTTTCGAGTCTTCTAGTAAATACAATCATATATATGTGATATATAGCATATGACACATATATGATATATGTGTGTGTGTATATATACATGTATATATATACAAATATATATACATGTATATACACACACACACACACACATACACACATATATACATATAACTGTGTGGTAGCTGTCAAATTAACTGGGACCAGATGCCTTGGTTCCAGCTTAGAAGAAGCTCATGTAGACATTTGATTTCTTTTTCTGGAAAGAAGTACAATGAAGCTGATAAAAAGGTTTCATTATATTTTAAGTAATCTAAGTAAAAGAAGTTTCTTGACCTAAATTAGAGTCACAAATTCAAAGACATTAAAAACAAAACATAACAAAAATATCCATCAGTTGTGTTTTACTTTAGCTCCTCTTAGTAAAATCTGATTTTATTGATTTATAATACATGGGGGTAGAGGGCAGGATCCCAGATGTGTGTCAATGCCTGAGTGCCTGAGATCCTCCTGTGTCCTGAGAAGGCCTGATGTTTGTCTCATGGACACAGTCAGTGTCAGTGAAAGTAGATTTGCATTGCCTCAACTTCGCTATATGAGAGAATAACTGCACAGCCTCAATCTTTCGTTGTTCCATTTGTAAAATGGATGGGGAATTTGGCAGCAGTGATAGTCTATTGTTTCAGGTGCTTTCCTGTCTCCCTTATTAATGTCAGATAGTGTTGAGAAGACTCCAGTTAGGGTGATGGAAAGGAATTGGTAACAGTTTTCAGTACTGGAGAGTCTTGGCATACACAATTTGGAACTGGAAAAAAAATGACCCTGCATGATTTGGAGCTAAATTCACTATTTCAGTTGGTAAGAGGCAAACAGTTCATTCCATTTGTGGTCAAATATCTATGTCTATATCTATATGGATATATATATATATATAGAAATATATATAATATAGTATATATATCTACATATAGTTTTAAATATATATAAGTATATATATCTACATATACTTTTGTTGGTTAGAAAATAAATGTTTTGAAAATGAGATAAAAAACATAAGATTTTAATTCCTCTACAGTCCTCACTTTATTGCGTAATCACTGATCGTAGCCTTATCCAATCTAGGTGATTTTTACATGTTACAAGTTATGCTCTGACAAAGCATGGGGTAGGTAATGCAAATCCTTCACTATCACTGGAAACACAATCTAATGTTGGTTTCAGTAGTATGACCCTGAAATATGAGCTACGTGGTACTTATTTATTTTTCAAAATGTATCTTTTTACAAGAGAAAATTAATTTAAAGTACAGTGAGAATTATTTGAAAGAGGTAGTAAAAATTTAGTAAACTCTTCCTCAATGTATATATAGGCCTCCTGAATAGACTATAGCTTTTGTTCTACTTCAATTATAAAAGACTATCATCAAAAGTGAGCCTGGAACCTGCAGATATGAATTAAAGACCATCAATAAAGCTTCCTTTTTTTTCTCACCTCCTCTATTGAGTCTTGTAGTAAGAGGGAGAATAATTTCCTAAGGAATCAAGTTGAAAGCTTTCAATCTATTTAACAGTATAAAGTATATGATCATCTGATTTTTGTAAATTGTAAGAGGACTTAGAGCTACGTGCTGAAGATACACAGTACAAATGAGATCCCAAACTACATTTGCATATTTGAAATATCAATGTCCATGATATTTAATACAATGGCAGACATTTTAAAACTGTGTTTTAATAAGGAAGTAACAAGTTAGTGAAACCTGGAGACTCTTCTGAAAGCTTCATTTCTAAAATATCAAGAATATTCTTATTGAAAAATTGCTGCTGATAGTCATACAATGCCTACTTTCTTCTCCAAATAAGGCATAAATAATCCATGCTTTTGCCCTCTGAGACATGCCTGTAATTGGAACTAAGTATGGTTCTTCATACGAAGACCTAAAGAAGAGAAAGAATGGATTCCCCAAACTTAATATATGTAGTGTTCAAATGAAAAAGTGAATAAAGAATTAAATCCAAACCTAGAAAAAGTAAGAGAATTAGAGAACCAGATAGAGGGAAGAGTGCTTGTGCAAGTCTAAATGTTTACTGCTTCACAGTCCATTAGGACATCCTGGAAGAAGGCTTAGTGCAAAACGAATGAATACTATTATTTTACTTTATATTTTATAGTATTTTACAGATAGGGTCTCACTCTGTTACTCAGGCTGGAATGCAGTCTCATGATCACAGGTAGCTGCAGCCTCTAACTTCTGGGCTCAAGCAATCCTCCTGCCTCAGCCTCCCAAGTAACTAGTACTACAGGCATGCATCACCATGCCCAGCAGATTTTTTATTTTTTCTTTTGTAGAGGTGGAGCCTTGCTATGTTGCTCAGGCTGGTTTTGAATTCCTGGCCTCAAGCAATCCTCCGTCCTTTGCCTCCCAAAGCGGCATTAGCCACCTCACCTGGCCTGAATACTATTTTTAATGCTGCAGGGTGCTCATTTCTTTTATAAATCTATTGTTATACGTTGAACATATTTGAATGTATTTATTATTAACAGTGAAAATAGGACACTTTTATTTTCAAGTTTATTTCTACATTAAACCAAATTCATCTCTCTAGAAAACCTTCTTTGTTTGTTAACCCTTATTTATAACATCTAATGCAATCTTCCCAATGGTGAAAAACTCACCAAAAGGATATCTGTCCTTGTACCCAAAATAAAATTTTTACTTTTTGCTAAATTATGATCGTAATATTTCTAATGTGCAAAAATTCTCATTGCTAATCTCTCACAGTAAATTTTATTTAAAAAATTTAATTCTATTTTAAGTTCCAGGATACATGTGCAGGATGTGTAGGGTTTTTCTGTAGGTAAATGTGTGTGGTGGTGGTTTGCTGCACCTATCAACCTATCACCTGGGTGTTAAGCCCCACATTTTTTTAAATAGAGAAGATGTTTTTTGATAATTTGTAGTTTAGTATTCTGTGGGAAAATTAACGGTTTTATTCTGTTTTACCTCTGGTTCTTCAGCACTTTCAGATTTTGCTGTCAATTATATTCCATATGTGTTATATCTTTGAAAATTCAGCAAATCTGATGATAATACTTTTTAATGTTTTCTAATGTAATTCCTGATCTACTCTCATTTTTATATTTTGCTATCATTATCAGTGGGATTTAGGGAGTTGGTAGAGATATATTTATGTGTTTGCATATATTTAGATATATGTGTTTGCATATATTTACAGAAATTTCACATTTGCCACATCTTTATATTCTGAAATTATTTGGATATACAGACCTCTTATAATATACATCATTATTTTTCATAGTGTTGAAGATTGCATTATGTGGTATTTAAGACTCTATGATGGTATTAAATTAATCTTGTTCAAATAATATTAATTGAAGTTTACTCTGTTCAGGAGACAATGTTGAAACAATGCTCTTCATTTCTTTCCTCATATCTTCTATCCTATTCTAGGCCATAAGATGTTCTTCACCAATTCTTATAGGCTGTCTCTGTTACCCCATGTCCTAGTTTTGGTAAATATATCATAAACATTTTTTAATAGTCCACCATATCTATGCTTTATACTTAATTGGGGGAAAATATCAAGTTAATTTAACATCTCCAATAATCTACATAATTTCCAGACATAAACAATGCACGGCTTCTTTTTTCTGTGAGATTCTATCTTTCTATGTTGCTGACTTTTGTGTAAAAATTGGTGGCACTCTCAGTAGGCAATGTCTTACCTTTTCTTCCCGAGTAGTGATGATAAATTCACCCTTACATATTGAGATACATTTCAAGTTCCATCAGGCTCATGATTTTAAAATTTACAGGTGGGCCTGGGCGTATGCAGACTATGATTAGGAAATTGACCCTATAATCTAGTATCATTATTGACATCATCATATAGCAACACTCTGAACTTAGTAACACTAAGTGCAAAGATGAGATAAACCCTATACTTTTAGTATATTGAGTTTTAGGAACTTTTTTATTTCCTAAAAGATGTAACTTAGCTTAAGAAAAAAACACTGCATATTGAAGATTCAGCTTTTGCAGAATGGAAAAAAGAAAACATTAGACTGGTAGGAGTCAAGAAACAACATGTTGAATTGAGTCTGGTGCTAACTGAATGGTTTTGAGGAGGGCAGTTAGCCTATCTGGACCTTTGTTTCCTCATATTTAAACTGAAGGGGTTGGATGAGGCGATATTTACTTCTTCTTGCATACAATTTCCACTGTATAGAACTCAGTTTGAATAGAATCAAATCCATAATGAGGTCATATGGATTACTTCCTTCAGTGGCTTAAGATTTCTAGATGATTTGGGTAAAAATAAGTATTGCATAATATTTCTGGTCTAGTGTTGAAAAGCCCACTAAATGCAAGTTTATGAAAATCAACTTTTCATAAACCCTCAAATTAGTAAGAAGTAAATAAAAGATGGCAGAAATATAAATATGTAGAGTCAAATAGTGAATTTACCAAGGGGCTACAGTGTTCTAAACACTGAAACAAGTGCTGGAATGTTGGGAGGACATGGTGGTGAGATGGGAGAGGCATAGGAGAATATAACATGGGAAAAGAAGTTTTGCCAGGGAAAGACCGAATTCAAGCTGTTATCTTAAGTAATATTATCTATTATTAACTTTTTTGTGATACGATTTTATTCAGTTTTTTTGAAGAAACTTTTTACTTATAAAAATTCAGATTAATATAATAATATCAGTTCATTTTAATTTTTTTATAATGCACAAAGTATGGAATATAGAGTCCGAAGGACTTTTTTTTTCCCTCTCTTCATTCTGGGCATCTTAGTGGAAATGTCTTCCTCTGATAGCGTGGCCATCAACATGTTACTCTTCATAGCTCACTTTAAAAAAATATATTAATGAGAATTATATTTAACCTTCCTACATCACAGAAATAGCATGAAAACAAGTAAATGACTGTATGTAAAAGATGAATACAGGAACTATAATAACTACCTTAATAAGCAGAAAAGTGTTTAAGTGTATAACTGCAGTTCTAATATTTTTTCATAATTTAATAACAATTTTCATATTTTATGGGATACACGCAAAGTGATTTCCCTTTTTTAATTACTGGAACTACCTAGTTCATTCCTAGGCTAATGAACCAAAAGAAAAATGCCCTATCAATAGTTAGAATCTGTATTATAGATATGGAACAATGAGGAAAGTAGTGACAAATCCATCATAAAGATATGTTATGACAAATGCTCAAAATGAGCCTAGATGCAGAAAAAGTGCATTACAATCAAGACAAAAGTAATCAGCATCAATTCGAACAAATCAGATAAGAGCAAAAGTGATCTCTGTTTCTCCTTTATAAGCAGGTCAAAGCTGGCAACAGAGATGGGAAAGTAAATATGTAGTACTATTAGTTTCTGGATCATCATCTTCTGAAGTTTTGAAAAAAGGAATATTCTGCTCCCTCTTCTCCTCCTCACCTTTTGTCTTTAAGGTTTCTCAACTCTGAGCTGCTTGGCTATAATTTGCATAAAGTTATCATGGCCACACATCACTCTGTCCTTGGGGAATGTAACAGATATGCATCATCCCACGACATCTGACGAGAAGCTCAGAAAATGAAGTTGGTGAAGGTATCATTGTCTTCTAAGTCAAGGCCCAGGTTGTCAGAAAAAGTGAGGGTGGCACATCCACAGTCAAATCCATGGCAGACTTTAGGTTTCAGTGGAGATGGCCCTGGCTTTCACCCAGAAGTCTTGGGTTGGGTTTCAATTAACAATGCAATATTTGACATCCCTCTGTTTTTTTTTTTTTTCATTTTCAGTTTCCTCATCTGTAGTAAAGATAACACCTGCTCTCCCCATCTCCTTAGGTTATTTTGAGAGGCAAATGAGATCATGTATCCGAGAATACTTACATAAATGTTACTTTAATTCACTTTTATGTGTGTATCCTTGCTTTATGAACAATGTTTCTTCCAGGTAAGGATATGTATGTTCAGGATATATACCTAGTAAAATTCCTGGCACAGAGTATTTGTTAAATGTTTGTTGAATCTGAGTGAACCTGAAGCAACTTGGAAAAACCAGAGTTTGGAAGAAATAACAATGAAGCGAGCCAAAATGTTAATTCCCTCTTTCGTTTTTGTTATCTCCTTTCTTTCTTCTCTTTAATCTCTATTAAGATCTCTAAAAATATGGAAGATTTTACTTTTCAAAGGAGAAGACATTGCATTTCCCTTTCCTTATGGGTATTATCAATTTCTCTCTGCCTTTATACAGGCATACCTTGGAGGTGTTGTGGGTTTTTTTCCAGACCACCAAAATAAAGTGAGTCACACTAGTTTTTGGTTTCCCAGTGCATATAAAAGTTATGTTTACATTATACTGTGTCTATTAAGTGTGCAATAGAATTATGTCTCTCTATCTCTATCTCTATCTCTCTCTCTCTATAAATATAAATTAAGGTATAAATATATAGATATATATGTCTTAATTTTAAAATACTTGCTGAGTGTAGTGGTTCACATCAGTAATCTCAGCTACTCAGGAGGCTGTGGCGGGAGGATCTCTTGAGGCTAGTAGTGCAACACCAGCTTGAGCAATAGTGAGACCTCCTCTCTTAAAAAAAAAAAAAAAAAAGGAAGGAAAAAAAATTACCTGGGCATGGTGGTATGCTTCTGTAGTTTAAACTACTCAGGAGGCTGATGTGGGAGGATCACTTGAGCCCAGGAATCTGAGGCTGCCATGAGCTATGATTGCCCCACTGCACTCCATCCTGGGCAACAGAGACCACAACTCAGAAAAAAATGCTTTATTGCTTAAAACTGCTAACAATCATCTGAGCCTTCAGCAAGTCATAATTGTTTTGCTGGTAGAGGGTCTTGCCTCAGTGTACATGACTGCTGATGATGACAGTGATAGTGCTGAAGATTAGGGTGGCTGTGGCAATTTCTTCAAATAAGACAAAGTTTGCAGCATCAATTGACTCTTCTTTTCATTAAAGATTTCTCTGTGTCTTGTGAAGCAGTTTGATAGCATTTTACCTCCAGTAGAACTTCTTTCAAAATTGGAGTCAATCCTCTCAAACCCTGCTGCTACTTTATAAACTAAGTTTATGTGATATTCTAAATCTTTTGTTGTCATTTCAACAATATTCACAGTATCTTCACTAGGAGTAGATACTATCTCAGGAAACCACTTTCTTTGCTCGTCTGCATGAAGCAACTCTTCATCTGTTCAAGTTTTATCATGAGATTGCAGCAATTCAGTCACATCTTCAGGCTCCACATTTTATTCCAGTTCTCTTGCTATTTCCACCACATCTGCCGTTACTTCCTCCACTGAAGTCTTAACCACCTCAAAGTCATTAATGAGGATTGGATCAACTTTTTCTAAAACTCATGCTAATATTGATATTTATTTTGAACTCCTCCCATGAATCACCAATGTTTATTTATTTATTATTTTTTTTTTGAGATGGAGTCTTGCTCTGTCACCAGGCTGGAGTGCAGTGCTGCAATCTCGGCTCACTGCAACCTTTGCCTCCTGGGTTCAAGTGATTTCCCTGCCTCAGCCTCCTGAGTAGCTGGGACTACAGGCACACACCACCATGCCTGACTAAATTTTTGTATTTTAGTAGAGATGGAGTTTCACCATGTTGGCCAGGATGGTCTTGATCTCCTGACCTCGTGATCCACCCGCCTCAGCCTCTCAAAGTGCTGGGATTACAGGCATGAGCCACCATGCCCAGCCAGATCACCAATGTTCTTAATGGCGTCTAGAATGGTTGATCCTTTACGGAGATTTTAAATTTATTTTCCCCGGATTCATCAGAAGAATCACCATCTATGACAGCTGTAGCCTTACAAAATGTATTTCTTAAATAATGACTTGAAATTTGAAATTACTCCTAGATCCATGAGCAGCAGAATGAATGTTGTGTTAGCAGGCACGAAGACAACATTAATCTCCTTATACATCTCCATTGAGTTCTTGGGTGACAAGGTGGATTGTCAACGAGCAGTAATATTTTGAAAGGAATCTTTTTCTCTAAGCAGTGGGTCTCAATAGTGGGCTTAAAATGTTCAGTGAACCATGCTGTAAAGACTTGAGCTGACATCCAGACTGTTGTTCCATTTATAGAGCACAGATGCAGTATATTCAGCATGATTCTTAAGGGCCCCACGATTTGCTGAATGGTAAGTGAGCATTGGCTCTGACATAAAATCACCAACTGTGTTAGTCCATAACAAGAGTCATCTTGTACTTTGAAGTTTTGAAGCCAGGAGTTGACCTCTTCTCTTTAGCTATGGAAGTCCTAGATGGCATCGTTTTTCAATAGAAGGCTGTTTTATCTACATGGAAAATGTATTGTTTATTGTAGCATCCTGTATCAGTAATGTTAGCTTTATCTGGATAATTTGCTATAGCTTCCACATCAGCACTTGCTACTTCATCTTGCACTTTTATGTTATAGAGATGGCTTCTTTCCTTAAATCTCATGAACTAACCTTTTCTAGGTTCAGGTGTTTCTTCTACAGCTTCTTCACCTCTCTCAACATTCACAGAATTGAAGAGAGTTCAGGTATTGCTCTTGATTAGGCTTTGGTAAGGGAAGGTTGTGGTTGGTTTGATTTTCTATCCAGACCACTCAAACTTTCTTCTTATCAGCAATAAGGCTGTTTCACATTCTTATCATTTGTGTGTTCACTGGATTAGTACTTTTTAAATTTATTTCAAGAACTTTTCCTTTGCATTCACATCTTGGCTAACTGGTACAAGAGGCCTAGCTTTCAATCTATCTGGGCTTTTGAAATGCCTTCCTCATTAAGCTTAATCATTTCTAGCTTTTGATTTAAAGTGACAGACATATAACTCTTCCTTTCACTTGAATGCTTAGAGGCCATTGTAGGGTTATTAATTGGCATAATTTCAATATTATTGTGTCTCAAGGAACAGAGAAGTCCAAGGAGGGGGAGAGAAATAGGAGAATGGCCAGTTGGTGGAGCAGTAAAAACACACACGACATTTATCAATTAAGTTTGCCACTTTATGTAGGCGCGGTCCATGGTGTCCCAAAACAATTACAATAATGATATCAAAGATCACTGATCACAGATCACCATAACAGACATAATGATAATAAAAAAGTTTGAAGTATTGTGACAGTTACCAAAATGTGATACAGAGAAAAGTGAGCACATGCTGTTGGAAAAATGGCCCTGATAGACTTACTCGATGCAGGGTTGCCACAAAGCTTCAATTCATAAAAAACATAATATCTGCAAAGCTTAATAAAATGAAGTGCAATAAAACAGGGTATACCTGAATATAACTTGTAATCATTATCAGAGCCCTTCTATTTTTGCAGAAAATTGTTCTTGACGCTACAATTTTTCCAGCTATTTTCAAATCCTTTTTTCTTCCTATGAAATCTCAATTTGCTGATTGTCTAGTTTAAAACAACTACTTCTATTCCCGCCCCCTGTCCCCCACCACCACTCCCAACTTAATGTTTTGCAATTTTACTTTCATAATTTTACTCTACCACTACTATTCTCAATAGGGTCATCAATGAATTCCTTCTATATAAATTCACAGCCCCTTTTCTAGCTTTACCTTAGTGTTCCTTTCTACTGCAGTTTACTTCATCAGCTTTCCTTTCTTCCTTGCTACCCTTTTCCGCTTAACTTCAATGACACCATAATTTCTTCCTTCTCAGACCTTTCAAAATACTCATTTTGTGTCTCTTTTTCAGGTTCTTTCTGCCCTCTTTTCCCATTAATGGCTATTTTTGGGGTGCTCAACTATGCTTTCTCCTACTTCTCTTTGATCCTCACCTTACCAAGAAAGCTTATGTGGGCTTTATTATTACCAGTACACAGATGGTATCCAAATCTTTCTTCTTTCTAAGAATGTTTCTTATTCTGATCAATGTGTCACTTAAATTTTTTTTTTACCAGCACTTAAAACCCACAAGTTAAGATATTTTATTCATTGGAGAGGCATAACTAGAGGCCATCTAAGGACCAGAAACAAGAAAAGCTTCTTTGCATTAACTATCATATTATCAGGAACTAAATATACATGCCTGCAGAACTGGATACAGCTAAAAATTTTCTTGAAGGCCACTGTTTAGCTTTAAAGATAAACAGAAATGGAAATTTAAATGCACTTGCCTTTCTTTCCTTCCCCCAAATGGCTTATAAATGGTATTGTGCATAGTAGACACTGATGTGGTCAACTAAATAAGTATGGCAGCAGTTAATGAGGACAGAAAGAAAATGTTAATTAGAAGTACTATATAGTGAAAAGCAGACTTTCCTAATGCTGGATCTTTACTTACATAATATTTCAGTGGTGGAGATTTGACCAAGTAGTAACAAGGTTAAGTAAGACAAAATCAGCTTGGTCAGTTTAAAAAGAATTTGAGTATAGCACTTTGAATATAAAACATCCTTGCATAAATGATATTGTTTTAAGTCTAGTTCTGGGAACTTAAATCCTATGACCTCATTTGAGCATGGCTTTGGACACTAGAATTATGAGTTTGTGATGGGTCAGAATTTCTCTTAGAATACATTTTCAGGAGAGAGTACTTAGAGGCTCAGCAATGCTTATTTATAAATCTGGTTTAACAGAATAGGAAAATACACCAAATGTGGAGAAATCGCTGAAGAGAAAGAGAGAGAAAAGGAAAAGTGTATAGGAATGTTACGAGAATGATATAATTTGAGCCCATCTCATTTGAATAATATAGAAGGTTCTGACTTGACTCTCAATGCCAGTGAAAAGTTTTGTTAGACTACCAACATACAGGGCTATACAGAAAAAAAGTGTGAGTCAGGCAACAGGTACACAACTCATGTGATAGATATGTTTGCATCCTGAGATATATTTGTTGCCTGCTCTGGTAGGAGCTGTGTTGAACTAAGAGTTACTAAATGATTTATATGTAGGAAGAAATTGAAAACTGTTTACAGTACCCTCTGGGTGGCTCTGTAACCCAGGAGATGAGTAATTAATAAATGAAAGCATTTTCCACTGCCAGTGGTCTGCCATGTGTCAAGCTGGGCTGTTGGAAAGACCAGGGCAGGAAATTACCCATAAGTTTGTGAGGTTAAGATGATTTCATGAAACATGTTCCTAGAGTATCTGTGTTATTGATTTTATATACACATTGTGTTTGAATGTGCATGTGTAAATTTAAAAAAATATTTGGTGCCCAACAACATATTACATACTAATACTAATCCAGGAATATTAATATATTCCTGAAGGGAATCATTCTATAGAGTTGCATTTTTAAAATTTCTAGACCCATTTCTACTTGGTTCTTCACAAAATCATGACCTCTTTAACTCTGGTGGTAGTTGCTTACATATTACACCATCTGTTTTTGTTTACTTAATAAATGCCAGTTCTCTGGCATTGATGAAGTAACGAGTTTTGGAAAGCTGCTAATACACGTTAAATTTTCAAAGAATTTACTTTAACTGAGATGCTTTACTATGGGAAGTTTTCCTCATCATTTTGTAGATTGGTGCTCATCAGTGAAATATAATTAAGATGGACAAAAAATTTTTTTTGGCATATCTTCTGCTCTTCCTGAAGACTTCTTCATGAAGATCAGACACTATTATTTGCAAATTTCCTCTGGCTCATAGATCAGTATAGCCAGGCTATAGTAAACTGGAGTTGATTAAGTCTCTCATGCATCCTCACTTCTGTCACACACATGAATCTCGCCTTTGATATCATGACTGTAGTAAGCTAGCAAACATCCAGAAGGCTCATAAATTTGGTTGAACAGAAAGTATTGATGTTAGATTTCAGAATATAATTTAGAATTATCTGGTTTTTATCAAGTCTATAATAATTTTAATTGTTTGATGTCTTCTTGGATATTATAAAATACTGAATCTCAAAATATGACCTATGAAATACCAATTGATTGATAATCAGGATTCTTTTAATGGGGGAAGCCAAATCAATAAGTGTAATTTCTTTCTCTTGTTCTGGTAGTAAACAACAATGCCATGTAATCTTAAAGACTCTTTAAACATACTACCATCTTTTATTTAGTAAACTGTAAAGTTACTAAAATTTTACTTTAATAGTACTTATTAAGGGTTTGAATCAGAATTGTACTAAGAAATCTTCTTGCTGCATAATATGTGCAATTGTTACAAATGCTTGTGGCATGTAAATACTCATAAAAAGTTGAAATTTCCAAAAAAAAACAGAGGAGACAGTTGTCCTGAGTTGTTCATGGCTTCTCATAGCTGATTTTTTATTTTTAAATTACTTAATAATAAAACATAGTTTTATTATAATCACTGTGTTTGGTGAAAGTTTTCTGGTTAACTCTAGATTTTGTAGTGATACATATTGTAATCAATATTTTAGAACTATATCTAGACTTTAAGACATATATGTGTTAGATTTTGGATATAAATAAATTATTCCTCTCCTACTAATGCAAATTTATGTAAAAGCTTGCAAAATATATAGATAATACTCGCTTGTAGAATGCTACTTCTTTGTTAATACCAAATCCTTTTCATCTGGATATTCAGTAGTGGACCTTTGGGTCTTTTGCTCCGGTTAAGTTGGTCTAAATATATTAAGAACTACTATTTTAAATCATTCATTATAATAACTTGTATCACTTTGTCAGATCACTATTTACATGTCTTACTTAAGTTTTCTATGTTCTCTACATTTCCTAACCAAAATCTTGTTGCACTGATAGGTCTTTTTATTATCCTCAAATATTTATTATCTCTTCCCATATGAGAGAATTAGACATTCCTGCCCATTGCCAAGAGCTTGCAGTCCTTTCTTGGTAAGGAGTATACATCCATGTCCATGTGACTAGCTTTTAACAATGAAGTATAGGTAGAAATGATGGGGTCAATTTTGAGCAGAAAGTTAAAAAGCCATTTTTTTAAATATTCATTTATTTTGAAACCATGAAGAGGACTAGGTTATAGGAAAGATATTTCAAGTAGAGTGAATAGCATGATGAGAATTTAAAATATATTTCTCAGCAAACTTTACAGGTATGGTGAACAGAACTGATTGGCAGGAAACAACAATTATGCTCTGCTTTGTATTTTCTCAGAAAAGTAGCTATTATGTGCCAGACCTTATACTGGTAGATATGGTGACAGTTGATAGACTCGATCTAGGCAAGAGTCATTTACACAAGAGATTTGAAAAGGGGTAACCAATGGTGCTATCATTGGGAAATCTTCATGATGGAAATTTAAGGAGGCACATACATACTTATATTATTATTATAAATATAATTCAGGATCTAGAGCATATCAAAGATAAATTATAGCCAACTTAATACAAGATTTTTTCAAGTTAAAAATTATGGGTCTTTTATTGACCTACTTGACATTTCTTTTCTTGGAAATTTTATATGTGAATTGGTGAATTCACATTATGCTTGCTTTCCATGTAGATACTGATCAGTTATTCCAGAGTATTCCCATTCTGTCATTTGCTTGTTTGACCTTGAGTAAGTTTCTGAGCCCATGCTGAGTCTCTGTTTCCTCATATGTAAATTGGCTGTAACAACGGAGTCTAATTCACAAGATTCTTTCTAGAATTAAATTGCTAGAATAAACGCATGCAAAACACTTTGCACTGCACCTGGTACGCTGTAGGGATTATTACTGCTCCACGTTTTTCTTCTTTTTCCTCTTTCTTCATCTTCTTGAAAAAAAGGGAACAAGGGGGATGACTTTTTTTTGCCATTTCACTTGTTTACCTGATGCATGAATTAACGAATTAATGTTTTTCTTTTTTTTTTTTTGAGACAGAGTCTCGCTCTGTTGCCTAGGCTGGAGTGCAGTGGCACGATCTCGGCTCACTGCAAACTCCGCCTCCCGGGTTCACGCCATTCTCCTGCCTCAGCCTCCAGAGTAGCTGGGATTACAGGCGCCCGCCACCACGCCTGACCAATTTTTTGTATTTTTAGTAGAGACGGGGTTTCACCGTGTTAGCCAGGATGGTCTTGATCTCCTGACGTCGTGATCCGCCTGCCTCGGCCTCCCGAAGTGTTGGGATTACAGGCGTGAGCCACCGCGCCCGGCCATGTTTTTCCTTTTAAAAAATTATTTTCTATCCTAATACTTCTAAGAATTTCATGGATTTCTTTGTTTTCCATTCTTTGTCCATCCATAGCTAAAGTGCTCTCTTAAATGGCCCCTCAGGCTCCCAATGTACAACCCTCACACACAAAATTAATTATTGTTTATCTGTTGGTAACAATTGGAATAAGGGATATAATGCTGAGAAATAAAGAAAGAGAAACCTTGAGTTCATAACCCCACACATGGCTGTAGCTGTACACGCCTCCAAAAGATGGATGTCATGAAGCAGGAAGATGTGAGCATTAACAATGGCAAAGATTCCCTCTTACCCTTATAACATTGATTTTGTTCAAGCTCATAAAGGTTTTTTTTTGTTGTTGTTCTGTTTGTTTGTTTTTCATTTAGATCAGCTGTCAGCAAACTACACTCTATGAGCCAAATCTGGCCCAGTGCCTGTCATTGTAAATAAGATTTTCTTGAACACAGATACACCCATTTCATTTACGAATTGTCTATGGCTGCTGTTTTGCTACAATGGCAGAATTGAATTGTTGCAACAGACACCATATGGCCTGCCAAGCATAAAATGTTTGCTGTCTGACCCTTTACAGAAAGACTTTGCTGACCTCTGTTTCAGAGAAATGACCCTGTACATGTAGAACATTATTATTTCTTTAACCTCTAGGGCAAACTATGCCTTACCCTTTCCTCGGCCAAAAGACTAAGTCTAGTTGGAAAAAGGAAAAAAGTCTGCTCCTTATGCTTCCTTCCCTTTTGTTGTCTGGTGATCATCATCACCATATATGTGATAAATCATCAAGTTTATCATACCCTTGACCTTTAAGTAGCTGACTTTAAGTCCAGTCTTATGTCCATCTTACTCACTATACCTAGTAAATGACAATGTATCAGTGGCAAACTTTGTCCTTAGGGAAGTGCCAGAAGTTCCATTATCATTAGGTAATCATGTTACAACTTCTAGGTCCCCTTTCTAGGGCCTCAAGAGAGAAGCAAGACATTCCATTCCCTGATTTTGAAACAGCCTGACTTGTAAATCTAAAATTTACTCCTGACCATAAACTTTTCTCATACAGTTGCCTGGAATAAAAATCAACAAATATAGTATGCTATTTGCCATAAAATTGGCAAGTAATGAAGTTCAATTGGATACTTTTGCTTGAAATTTTTCTTCTTAGACATGTGCCTAGTGGTGTGGTCTGCTGGATAGATCATGTCTTGTGTACCTTCTTGGATATTTAATGATAAATAATAGGCCAGTAAGAAGTATTCAAGCATTCAGTTTGATAGCTTCAGAATGACTAGCTACTATATGCAGTAGGATTATAAAAATGGATTCAGGGGTTTGCTTCAGTTTATTGAAAAGCTGTGAAGTGTCCTTGAAACACTGTGGATTTTAATTGCTTATAATGCCTATATAAAATTATCCTATGAAAAGTGAATTTGATATTTTCCCTTTTCTATGCAAGTAACAATTAAAAAATATATAGGGAGAGAAAAAATCCTAAGGCATTGTCAGAAGTGCTGCATTCCACTTTATGAACCCTGAAGTAATGGATCTACAAGAGATATATGCAGGAGCCTGTTATTGACTGTGAAGTCATTCTGCATCGGTTGACTGTAAACTGAAGTATCATTTTCCCTCTCATCCTGGCACCTGGATAATATTAAATTTGAACCTTTGATTTGATTGATACATCTCAGAAGCAGGACATTTAGACATTTGTGTCATAAAACCAAAAGGAAATATTTTGTATCATCGAACATGGCCCTGCAAGGTACAGTAGTTAAAACCAAATAAAGTTAGCATCAATTTTACAGTTATTTAAAAAGCATACACACAGGCACACACGTGCCCACATACACATAAACCCACCATAGAAATGCCCCTTTTTTTTTGTTTTGGAATGACATTTAGTAAAACATAAAGTTTACCTAAAGAAGCTGAGGTAGCAGCTTTAAATGCAATAAACAGGGACCTACTTACATATGCAAAACAGAGACTCACAGGTGCAAGAAAGGTAATTGCTGGTACAAAATATGCCATTACCTGTTTTACATGCACAACTGCCTGATTCATAATGGCAACTAGCTGATTTTGTCTTCCTCTGCATAATTTTTATACACAAATTAGTTGCTTTGGAAAATTTGGCACGAATATTTCACTGTTCTTAAAATATATTATGTACAGAAGACAATAGAAGCATCAGAATGAGTCAGTAAAACACATTTTCTGTTTATTTTTATTTATTAAAAACTAGGAAACCTCTTCTGGAATCTTATTTTTCTTCCCCTGCTAAAAAGTTTTTGTCACTGTTGTTTCGTACAGTGTGTTTCATTAGTGCTTTAAAATCTGCTGAAGCCAGGCAGCAACTTGCCTGCCTATTAGTTTAACTGAAGGCCCATCACAGCAGTGCATTATGCATTGTCTTGGGAACAATTAAGACATGCCATCCCCACAAAGCAGTTTTTAAGTGGGCAAAATATATTTAATGGTAGGGTTTGTGGCACCCAGAATAGAAATACAATGCAAACTATAGGGAATATGTACTTGCCCTAACATTAAACAGGTTTCTTATAATTCACATATACACTCTTGGGGATATGGTATCCTGTGAGTACATTTCAAGTGTCACTAATGAAATGTTTATTGTCTATGGCAGCCTATGCATAAGAGTGTAATCTGTGGCCAGCCAAAGGGCACTGTTAACAGCAGCAATAATGCAAATTTAATATGCACATAATGATTGATCTCTTTAGTAAAAAAGCTTATGAATAATATTCATATTTAAGACTAAGAGCTAAAGTACCCTGGGAATCAGGCATCAAGAGCCTAGCTATTGATGGATTTAGACAGGTCAGACAATGTCAGTCTAACAGTATTTGATCGATATAGAAAAGGTGTCAGAAAGGTGATTTGAGAAATACCTTTATAATATATACAAACATCAGATTTAGTATCCTCTTTCTTTTCTTAATGTAATCCACACATGTTTCTAAAGCAAGGGTGTTTTTTATTATTTCTATTTCGGGTGCTCATGGTAGATCAAATTAAAACACAGTATGTGTCCAGTTCAGCCATCCTGCTCACAATATCATATGATATGTAAAAAGCATAGTGTCAATATTCATGTAGAACTTATATGTCACTCTTAATATGTTTTTTAACACTGAAATTTGGGAGCTGACTTTAGTTGAGGTCACTGTGTGCTTCATTTAGTACAATTAACAGATTTCTTAGTTTAGAGGACATATTTCTTGTGACCAAAAGGATTATCCACAGCTTTGTGGCATTTCAGTGTCCAGATTTCTTACGGAAGAGTGAGTTTAAAGTTTTTCTAGGAAACTGATGGAAGAAGTTTGGTATTAAAGTTGAATTTCTACTCTAGGAGTTATTATTACAGATAATCAGAATCAGTACTTGTTCTCAGGAGGCATTTAGATCCAGATGGCATTCTTGTGTTACTCTCTAAGATCTGTAATAATACATTGTGTAAAATGTTATTGATGACTTTCATAGTGGTAATTTTTATTTGGGTCTTTTTTTTTTTGGAGAGCAGGATGCAGATGAGTTCTAGTATATACATTTAATATCTAAATTTATTTCATAATATTTCTACGTGAAGTAATAGTTTAGTTAGCATTATTTGTTTCATTGCCTCATGTGAAACTGTGAGAACAGAAGTTGAGTTTTAATTGTTTCTTTAGTTGAAGTAAGTAGCAGTGATAATAATGTTCTTTCAAAAGAACTAACATATAAATAAATGTATGTAAAATAATATAGGAAGGAAAGGAAAGAAGAAAGACTGGAAAATGTTTGACCTTTTTTTCCCTATTTGTATGAGAACATGTTATAGTGTGGACAGTGCTCTTTCTAAATAGACTGTATGATGGTTAATTCTGTGTCACCTTGACTGGGCCATGCAGTGCCCAGATTAAATATTATTTCTGGTTTTGTCTGTGAGGGTGTTTCCAGATAAGATTAACACTTTAATCAGTGGACTCAGTAAAGCAGATTGTCCTCCTCAGCGTGGGTGGGCACCATCTAACCTGTTGAGGTCCTGAGTTGAACAAAAAAATGGAGGACAGGAGGACTTGAACTCATTCTCTTCTTGCCTGCTTGCTTGAGCTCGGACATGAGTCCTCTCTTTTCCTTGACTGTGATTTATATTATCTATTCCCCTGGGTCTCAGGCCTTGAGATTCAGACTGGAATTACACCACAGGCTCTCCTGGGGTGTCATCCTGCAGATAGCAGATCATGGGACTTAGCCTCCATAATTATATGAGCCAATTCATCATAATAAATCTCTCTATATATAATCTCTGTACTATATCTAAACTATTATTTCCATTTCTCTGGAGAACCTTGACTAATACAATGACTTTTATGAAAGTATAAGATATCTGAGTGTACTGTGAGATTTCTATTTCGAGAACAATTAGTATTTTAAATATTAAAAAAGGTACAATCTCAATATCTCATTGTCAATTGTGAGGGATGCAATGGGCATCTTTACTAATTAATGAAACTGCATGTAAAAAAATTTATCAATACCCAATAAAAGGCTATTTCTTGATACTTCAAATTAATTATTCTGATCTTTTCCAAGACATGTTAAAGAACACATAAGAACTAAGTGTTCTACCTAATTTCAAGCAAGTGTAAACAGAAAAATATGCCATCAACTTCAATAGTTAACAATGGACAAAATAAAATGCAATATTATTGTTAACTGATACACTTTTTGCTGAAATGTGCATTTACTTTCACATAATTCTATACTTTCTCAATCAAAGTAACATTTTGTATAGATGGGTAAATGTAATATAATTTTTATAGCACTATATGCTTTTTGTGGAAAAAAACATATAAACCAAAGGAAATGTGCTCTGTGCAGCCATGTGTCCTCATTTTTTTATTTGAATAAATGAACAATCTGTATATACCTTTCATACAAAATATACATCAGGTATGGAAAGTAATGTGTCTGTTTTATTATAGAAAAAAGTGGCTGGTAGCTGGAGATGATATAGGAATAATAATATCACTGAAGAAAAAAATGAAAGTGAAGCCCTTTACAAAACAAGAATTGATTTTGAGCAGGATCAATACATGTTTGCATATAAAAATTACACCAACTTTGGAAAAGACAATGAAAGTGCTGAAATCTGGAAATCACTAATGGAAAATGAACACTTGATAATAAAAGGCACAAAATGGAGGCTTAAATAAAGTGGTGTAAAGTTGTTTCTGAAAATATTCATTATGATTCAATGAAACTAAGAGAACTGGCTCCAAGCATGTATACATTCTGTTTGGACCTAGATTGCTTCCTTCTCTGCTCTTCCCTTTTCTACTCTTGTCTTTTCTTCCAGATCCCTCTTCAAACATAGTTTCAGGCTTCACTATTGTCTGTTTCTCAGTTTGAACTGCCTGTGTTGCTCATACTCTGGAGTTTCTGTAATATTATGTCTCATTATTGCATCTCTGAATGAGGAATTGTTATTAGTGAGTAAAGTTAGACTAACCATGGAGCATTTTCCAAAAGAAGAGGAAAGCAAGTTCTTTTTTTGAAGTCATAAATAACTTTGAAAGCAAGAGAAGGAAGACAAGTCTCTTAAAAAAATGAACTCAGAGATACATGATCTTCAGGTTTATATGCATACATCTCTCATCTTGTCTCCATTGACTAGATATATTTTGCTTGAATGTAGATATGTGACAACTTCTGTTTATGAGAGAAACAGGCTTTCATAGAGGCCTTTTCCAGCTACTAGATGGGAGTAACCTAAAAGAAGTATAATGAAAGCCATGAAAGTTAGTAGTAAAAAGTAATATTAAGAGAAAGCAAGAATAAGCTGTTATTTCAATCAGCATCAATCTGATAATGCATTAAGTGGTATCCTGTTTTCTAGAAAGTACAATTTCAATTACAAAAATTACAATGGATTCCCTCCTTTTAAATCTCCTATCACCTTGTACTTTTATTATGAACTTACTATATTCCACTTTGTATAACTGCTTCCAGTACCCAATTTTCTTCCACTGGGTTATAAGTTCCTTGAAGATTTCCAAGACTGTGTCTTGCCCATGGTCCTCTCCAAAGTATTTAGTTCAGCATCTCAGTAAATATTTGTTAACATAAAATTAATATATATTATCGATTAACATTTATTGAACATTATTATGTTATAGAGAAGGCAGTGTGTGCTAGGGTCTAGAGAAAGATAAAGAATAAATTTTAAATGATTTAAAGTGTAGTTGACTTGGTAAGTATATTTTAAAGAATGAAAGATAAACAATAAGGCCAGGTGCAGTGGCTCACGCCATTAATCCCAGCACTTTGGGAGGCAAAGGTGGGTGGATCACGAGGACAGGAGTTCGAAATCAGCCTGGCCAATATGGTGAAAACCTGTCTCTACCAAAAATACAAAAATTAGCTGGGTGTGGTTGCGGGCACCTGTAGTCCCAGCTACTTGGGAGGCTGAGGCAGGAGAATCGCTTGAACCCAGGAGGTGGAGGTTGCAGTGAGCCGAGATCATGCCATTGCACTCCAGCCTAGGAGACAGGGCAAGACTCCGCCTCAAAAAAAAAAAAAAAAAAAAAAGAAAGATAAACAATAATAGCTGATAGCATCTTCTAAATGCCAGAAGAGATTGTTAAGAGCTGCAGAAGTTACCAAAAGTGATTTGATCCTCTGAGTTGGAAGGGTAAAGAAAGTATGGTTTTCTTACATGCCTCTGCTATTGCTTCTAAGGAGAAAAGTTCAACTCCTACACATTGCTGTGCAGATCTTTGAATGGAATTCAAAACCGCTGGGTCTGTTTACTTCCTGGCTTTCTAAATAGCAATGCTTAGTTCAAGGACAGACAGATTTATTTATATAATTACCATGTAAATAATGCACTTACACTATTCAAAATATGTAAAGTAGAATACAATTACAACAAGAATCGTAATTCTTTACAGTAAATCATTGATGCACTAAGAAAAGCTGTGATTTGTGTCCTTAGTGTCAGAGAGACAGTGCCATTTTCTTGTTTCATTCTGTTTGTTTTTCTGAAGGAAGGAAAAAAGAAAAGAAAGAAAGAAAAGTGGGATTATTGAAAATAATGCATTTCAAGAGCATGAGGGGTGCTTAGTATTTTTCTTATGAACCCCAGAGTAAAGACCCTGAACTCAAAAAATGGGGTATCCTAGGTCCCCAAAGCAATGAAGAAGTATTTGATACTTTATGTCTTTGTAATTAAAAGATTTCATAGCATGTGTTCATTTCTATTGCTTCTGAATTGGTCTACAGTACTTCTCAGAATGCTAACCCAGAAGCTACCTTTACCTATGCTATGTTGAAGTACAAGCCTGGTCTGCCAACCTCAGATGTTTCAGTATTATCACAAAAGAACAACTTGCCTGGAAGAAAGAACTAGAATCTGGGAATCCTGCTGGGGAAAGAGCAGATATATTGTTTTAAACTGTGATCAGGTAAGGAAGGAGCTTGGTAAAATAGGATGCGGTATCTGGAGAGCAGAATAACCAGTAGCAGTAATCCAGAAGTGTTAGAGTTTTAGCAAGACCAAACTACACATAATTGAATGCAGAGCTGGATTACTAACAACTAAACTTTTAGAAATTTTTATTGAGAGTTTAATATTCATTAATTCAATCATTTATTTATCCAATCAATATTTAATGACTTCTCTGTAGGTATAAGGATAAGGAAGAGGTACAATAAAAATACATCATATTCTACTATAGAAATTAATAAATACAACAGGAAATATTTATTTATCATAGAAATTAATAAATAAAACAGGCGGAGGTTGCAGTGAGCTGAGATCCCTCCACTGCACTCCAGCCTGGACAACAGAGGACAGAGTGATACTCTATCTCAAAAAAAAAAAAACAAAAAAACAAAACAAAACAAAACAAAAAAATGAAAGCAAGGAGTAAAAGTAAATTATTTAATTTTGCATCACTAATGTGGAATTCTCTATTGCTTAAGCATTGTGTGGCTTAGTTGGGTTTTTGTAAGGCAAATGAAACGTGAATACATTATGAGTCATTTAGTGTTCTTAAACTTACCATTATTTGCTAGGTAAAATGCTGGAAAAATCAGCCTATAAGGTTCAAGAGAAATTATGTTGACAAAATTAAATAAATGACTGGTCTGGTTGAAAAAATATAATTGCAGAAATAAATATAAATTGCAAGTAAGCTGGACAGTTAAAGTTTTAGTTTGGTCCCATGGCTTGGCCTCAATCTAGCTTTTTGGGCAGATTTACTATTTTACATTGAGAAGGTCTTAGAATGAGAACTTAATAAATATTTGATGAGGTACTGATTGGCAACATTAATAAAGATGATGGGAGCTACATAAGCAAGTTGGTGGAATAGGAGCTTCCTACCATCACTTCCTTCTCCCCCACAGATGCAGCAATTTTGAGAATGACCCATCTAAAAAAGTATCTTTGCAGGAGTCCTGGAGTCCGGAAAAGTCCCAGCACACCTTGGAGCAAAATATCAAAAAGTTTATGTGTTGAAGAGTTAATAAAACAGTTTCACTTTATCTGTTACCCTTCCTCCAAGGCAGCACAGCTCATTGTCAAGAGTGTCCCCTTTAGTCTGCAGTTTCTCTAATGACAGAAAGTAAGAGCACAGTGAGGGAGCACCTTGTTCCTCTAGCCATGCAGGATATTTCCCAAAAGGTATACTTTTTTATTACCTCACCCAGATTACTAAGGTAATCAGCACAGTTCAAAGATTGGGAGAGAATGAGAGCAGAGAAGAGAGGTCACAGACCCTACTAACCACTTTGTGAACTCTGCCAGGAAGCTGGCCCATGAATTTTACCTCCGGACCCACAAGGGACACCCCCAAAACTCCATGTGTCTCACTCCTCTTCTCCCAGGCCAGCATCCAGAGCACATACCTAAGGATAGGAAAAGCAAGCATCTCACACAGATGATTTGACCCTACTGAATTGTAAAAAGGCCTAAAAACTTCAGGATTTCAGAGCACTGCCCTAGAGAAAACAAATGGGAAGCTCTCAGCATCCAGCCTGGATTTTTGGGGTTGGAAGAAGGCATACAGTCTTAAGAATTCCCCCACACCCCACCAAGAGGAATCAATAGGTGTAGAATGGCACAAACAGAAAAGATCTGAGACAGTTTAAGAATCTTTAGCTGGGCTGACTGATGAAGGCATTTTTTCTGCCAAAATTAGTCAGAAAAGACTGAAGAAGGTGGTTGTTTCCTCAAATGCAAAGACAGCAATGCAAGACCTCAAGAAACACAAAAATCAAGGCAATGTGAGACCCCCAAAGAAATCCCCAATTATTCTCACAACCAAGTCCAAAGAAATGGAGATCTACCAATTTTCTGATAAAGAATTCAAAATAATTGTTTTAAGAAACCTAAGCAAGGTACAAAAAGCACAGATAGACAATTCAATGAAATCAGAAAAGCAATACATGAACAAAACAAGAAATTCAATTAAAAAATAGAAATCATCAAAACAAGCCAAACAGAAATTCTGGAGATAAAGAATGTAATAAATGAATGAAAAGTGCAATAGAGAGTATCAACAGTAGACTTAATCAAGTGGTAGAATCAGTGAACTGAAATTCAGACTATTTGAAATTATAAATACAGAGGAGAAAAAAGAAAAAAAAGAATGAGAAGGAATAAAGAAAGGCTATGGGAGGTATGGGACACCATCAAAGGAACTAGGGTTTGAATATTGAAATTTTCAGTAGAAAAGAGAAAGAAAGAAGCAGAAATCTTATTTAAAGAAATGGTGGCTGAAAATGTCCCAAATCGGGGGGAACATATGAACACCTAGGTGCATGAAGCTCAAAGATTCCCAAATGGCTTCAACCTGACGAAGACTTTACCAAGACAGAATAAAATCAGACAGTCTAAAATCAAACATAAAGAGAGAATTTTCAAAGAAACAAAACAGGCTAGTTACGTACTGGGGAAACTACCATAAGTCTATCTTTTGTCACAGGTGAGGAGAGAGTGGAATAATACATTCAACATGTTGGAAAAAAATACTTTCCCTGGCAAAGATGTCCTTCAGAAATAACAGACATCACCTGGAGGGAGTTCATCACCATTAGACATGTCTTACAAGAAATGCTACAGAAAGTTCTTCAACCTGATTCAAGGGCAGTTATTAGTAACATAAAAATATATGAAAGTATGAAACTCACAGTGGTTAGTATACAGTCAAATTCAGAATATTTTAATACTGTAATAGTACTCTGTAAATTCCAACTCTAGTATAATGATTAAAAGACAAAGGTATTAAAAATAACTATAGGTTCAATAATTTGTTAACAGATACATGATATAAAAATATGTAAATTATGACATCAGAAACATGGAATGCAAAGTTTGGGGTAGCAAAAGTATGGAGTTTTAGTACATGATAAAAGGCAAGCAGTTATCAACCTAAAATAGACTGTTAGACTCTATAAAATGTTTTATTTAAACTTCATGGTCACAAAACAAACAAACAAACACCACTCAAACCTATAGTAGATACACAAAAGACAAAGAGAATCCAAGGATTGCACTAAAGAAAATTATCAAATCACAAAGGAAGACAGCGAGAGGAAAAGAAAGAAACAAAGAATCTTCAAAACAGCAGCCAGAAAACATTGAACAAATTGGCAATTGCAAATCTCGATCTATCAATACCTTTGATCTAAATGGATTATATTTGCCCATCAAAAGACAGAATGGCTGGATGGATAAGAAAAAAAAAACAACCCAAAAACTCAACTACAGGCTAAGACTCACTTAAAATCTTAAGAAGGAAATAGACAGCAGGTGGTGGCTTATGCCTGTAATCCCAGCACTTTGGGAGGCCGAGGTGGGTGGATCACGAGGTCAAGAAATCGAGACTATCCTGGCCAGGGTGAAACCCTGTCTCTACTAAAAATACAAAAATTAGCTGGGCGTGGTGGCAGGTGCCTGTAATCCCAGCTACTCGGGAGGCTGAGGCAGAAGAATCGCTTGAACCTGGGAGGCAGAGGTTGTGGTGAGCCGAGATTGCACCACTGCACTCCAGCCTGGCAACAGAGTGAGATACTGCCTCAAAAAAAAAAAAAAAAAAAAAAGAAAAAGAAAGAAATAAGAAATAGCAATACAGTAATTGATGACTCCAACACCCAACTTTCAACAATAAATGGATCATATAGAAAGAAAATAAACAACAAAATGTTGGACTTGAACTACCCTTTAGACCCAAAAGACATATACAGATCATTTCATCCAAACACAGCAGAATACATATTCTTCTTAGGCATACACAGATCATTCTGCAGAATAGGTCATATCGTAGTCCACAAAATAAGTCATATAAAGTTTAAGAAGACTGAAACCATATCAAGGATCTTTTCCAAAAATAAAAATACAAAACTAGAAATCAATAACAGGAATAAAATTGAAATATTCACAATATATGGAAATTAAACAACATGCTCCCGAAAACAAAAGGGTCAAAAAAGAAATAAGAAATTATCTTGAGACAAATGAAAGTTGAAACTCAAAATACCAAAATTATGGAATGCAGCAAAAGCAGTGCTAAGGGAGGTTTATAACGTTAAATGCCTACATGAAGAACAAAGAAAAATATCAAATAAAAACTTCAGTTTACACCACAAGGAACTAGATAAAGAAGAACAAACAATCTAAGCCCAAAGTTAGTAGAATAAAGGAAATAATAAAGATTAGAGCAGAAATAAATCACGTAGAGACTAGAAAAATGATAGAAAAGATTAATTAAAAGAGTAAAATTTTAAAAAAGAGAAACAACATAACCTTTAGCTGGACTAAGTAAAAAAAGAGAAGGTTAATAAAATATAAAGTCAGAAATGAAAGAGGAGATGTTATAGCTGATTCCACAGAAATTCAGTCATAAGAAACTCCTTCGCATGATTATATGGCAATGAAATTGGATAACCTAGAATAAGTTGATAAATTCCTTTAAAAAGATAATCAATAAGATGAATTTTATATTTAAAAAGGTGAAATCTGAACAGATGAATAACGAGTAAGGATTTTGAATAGGTAATCAAAAATCTCCGGAAAAATGAGAGCTCAGAACTGGATGGCTTCACTGGTAAATTCCATCAGACATCTAAAGAGAAATACCAGTCTTCCTCAAACTCTTCCAAAAAATTGAAGAGGAGGGAACACTACTAGTTTATCTTACAAGGCTAGCATTACCTTCAAACCAAAGCCAGACAAGGACAAAACAAGGAAAAAAAATGCTATATATAGAATAGAAAAATCCTAAAATTTGTATGAAAACACAAAAGATCATAAATAGCTATAGCAATCTTATAGAGTAAGAAAAACAAAGAAGTAGGCATCACACTTCTTGATTTCAAATTATTTACAAATCCATAGTAATCAAAGCAGCATGGTACTGCCATAAAAACAGACGTATAGATCAATGCAACAGAATAGAAAGTTCAGAAACAAACCTATGTACGTACATTCAACTAATTTTTGACAAAGGCACCAAAAATACACAATAAGTAAAAGGTAGTCTCTTCCATAAATGATGTTGAGGAAACTGAATATACATATACCAAAAAAAAAAAAAAAGAAAGTTGATCCCTATGTTACACCACACACAAAAATCAACTCAAAATGGATAGAGAACTGAAGCACAAGATTGGAAGCTATAAATCTCTTAGAGGAAAATGAGAAAATGTCCATGACATCGATCTTGGTGATAATTTTTTGGATATGATACCAAAACCACAGGTGACAAAAGCAAAAACAAAGTGGGACTATATCGAACTAATACATTTCTGCACAGCAAAATAACAGTCAACAAAAGGCAAAGGCACACTATGGAATGAGATAATATATTTGCAAACCGTATACCTGATATGGGGTTAATATTCAGAATATCTAGAGAACTCATACAACTCAGTAGCAAAAAATCAAGTAAACATTAAAAATTGGGCAAAGGATCTGAATAGATATTCCTCAAAAGAAGAATACAAATAGCCAATAGGTGTATTAAAAGGGGCTCAACATCACTAATCATCAGGGAAATTGAAATCAAAACCATAATGAAATCTTGTAGAATGGTTGTAATAAAAAATTTAGAAGATAACAGCCAAGGATGTCAAGAAAAGGGAACTCTTGTACACTTTTGGTGGGAATGTAAATTGGTACAGCCATTATGAAAAACAATAAATATCCTCAAAAAATCAAAAATAAAACTACCGTATGGTCCAGCCGTCTTATTACTGGGTATACGTACAAAAAAAAATCACTATCCTGAAAAGATACCCACATTCCCATGTTCATTGCAGCATTATTCACCCTAGTCAAGATATGGAAGCAACTTAATTGTCCCTTGATGGATGAGTGGACATGAATATATAATATATGAATGCATAATATATAATATGTATGAATATATAATAAAAATACTCAGTACATGTATATGTAATAAAAATTATTCAGCTTTAAAAGAGAAGAAAATCCTCTCATTTGCAAAAATATAGATAAACCGGGAGGATATTATATTAAGTGAAATAAGCCAGACACAGAACGACAAATACTGCATGATATCTCTTATATGTGGTATTTTAAAAAATTGAACTCATAGAAACAAGAATAGATGGGGTGGTTGCTAGTGTTTGGGTGTGGGCTGGGGGAGAAATGAGGAGATGCTGGTCCATGGGTATAAGCTTTCAGTTGTAAGATGAATACATTCCAAAGAACTAATGTACAGCATGGTGACTGTAGTTAATATATTGGGCTTGGAAGTGGAGCAAAACGGCTAAATAGAAGTCTTCACAGACACCAAATTGAATCAAACGTCCACACAAAAATGCACCTTTATAACCACTAAAAACCAAGCAAGCAATCAAAGTACCAGGTTTTAACTTTGTATCACAGAAAGAAGCACTAAAGGAGATAGAAAAGACAGTCTTGAATTGCTGATGCCACCCCTCCCCAATCCCCTGGCAGTGGCTGCGTGGCCCAGAAAGAGAATCTATGTGTTTGGGGGAGGGAGCGCACAGTGATTGTGGAATTTTGCATTGGAACTCAGAGTTGTACTGTCACAGTGGAAAGCAACATGGGGCAGAACTCAGCTGGCACACACAGAGGAGCATTTAGACAAGCCCTAGCCAGAGGAGAATTGCCCATCACAATAGTTAGAACCTGAGTTCCGATAAGCCTTTTCATAGCAGGCTAAAGTACTCTGGAGTACCAAAGAAACTTGAAAGGCCATGTAGGCCACAAGGTCTGCAATTCTTCGGCAAGTCCTGGTGCTGTGCTGGGCTTGGGGCCAGGAGATCTACAGGGCCCACAACTTAGTGAGACACCAGATGGGGTAGCCAAGGCAGTGCTTTTGCCACTCTTCCCCAGCCCCAGGTGGTGCAGCTCACAGCTCTGGGAGAAACTCCTGTCCTCTGCTTGAGGAGAGGAGAGGGAAGAGTAAAGAAGACTTTGCCTTGCAAGCTGGATACTAGCTCAGCTGCAGTAGGATAGGGCACCAGGCAGAGTCCAACAGCCCCCATTTTAGGCCCTAGCTTCTGGACAACATTTCTAGACACTCCCTGGGCCAAAAAGGAACCCATTGCCTTGAAGTGAAGGACCTAATTCTAGAAGGATTCGTCACCTGCTGACTAAAGAGCCTTGGACCCTGAATAATCAGCAATGACACCCAGGCAGTACTTTCTGTGGGCCTTGAGTAGGACTCAGAGATGTACTAGCTTCAGGTGAGATCCAGCACATTCCCAGCTTTGGTGGCTACACGGAGAGACTCCTTCTGTTTGGGAAAAGGAGAGAGAAGAGTAAAGGGGACTTTGTCTTCCACCTTAGGTACCAGCTCAGCCACAGTAGGGTAGAGGACCAAGCAGGCTCTTGCAGTCCCTGATTCCAGGCCTTGGTTCTTGGACAGCATTTCCAGAACAGTCCTAGGCCAGAGGGAACCCCACTTTCCTTAAGGGAGGGTCCTAGGCCTGGAGGCAATCACCAAAAGCTGACTAAAGAACACGTGGGCCTTGAGTGAACACTGGTGGTGGTTAGGCAGTACTCACCATAGGCCTAAGGCAGTGGTGGCCTTGGGGAGATGCTGCTTTGCTTATGGAAAGGGGAAAGAAAAGTCAGAAGGACTCTGTCGTGTGGCTTGGGTGCCAACTCAGCCACAGTAGAATAAGGCACCAGGTATATTCCTGAGATTTTTGACTCCAAGTCCTGGCTCCTGGACAGCATCTCTGGACCTAGCTGGGACCAGGGAGAATGCACTGCCCTAAAGGCAAGGAGACAAGCTTGGCTGGCTTTGCTACCTGCGGATTGTAGAGCTCTTGGGCTTTGAGCAAACATAGGTGGTAGCCAGGCAGTGGTTATTGTGGGCCTTGGGCAAGACACAGACCATGGTGGCTTTAGGTCCGACCCAGCACAGTCCCAGTGTTGGTGGCCACTAGGGTGCTGTGTCATCCCTCCCCCAGCTCAAGGAAGCTTAACATGGAGAAAGAGACTCCACTTGTTTGGGAGAAAGTAAGGGAAGAGAACAAAAATCTCTGTCTGGTAATCTAGAGAATTCTTCTGGATCTTATCCAAGACCACCAAGGTAGTACTTCTATGAGTCTACAAGAACCACAGCATTACTGGGCTTTGGATGCCACCTGATGCAGATATGGCTGCAGAGACTAAAAACATAGATTATAACACTTAAATTTCTTTGAATACTGAATACTGAGAAAGCCTTCCAAAGAAGGATGGGTATAAACAGGCCCAGACTGTGAAGACTACAATAAATATTTAACTCTTGAATGCTGAGAAACTGACAAATATCCACAAGCATCAAGACCTTCCAGGAAAACCTGACCTCACCAAATGAACTAAATAAGTCAGCAAGGACCAATCCTGGAGAGACAGAGATATATGACCTTTCCAACAGAATTCAAAATAGTTGTTTTGAGGAAACTCAATTAAATTCAAGATAACACAAAGAAAGAATTCAGAAGCCTATCATATAAATTTAACAAAGAGATTGAATAGTTAAAAAATCAAGCAGAAATTCTGGAGTTGAAAATGCAATGGACATAGTAAAGAATGCATCAGAGTCTTTTAACAGCAGGATTAATCAAGCAGAAGAAGAATTAGTGAGCTTGAAGACAGGCTATCTGAAAATTCACAGTCAGAAGACAAAAGAAAAAATAATTTTAAAAAATGAATATCTACAAGATCTATTTACAAGGTTTGCCAGATAGCCTCAGAAGGGCAAATCTAAATTATTAGCCTTAAAGAGAAGGTAGAGAGATAGGAGTAAAAAGTTTATTGAAAGGGATAATAACTGAGAACTTCCCAAGCCTAGAGAAAGACATCAAAAGTCAAGTACAAGAAGGTTATATAACACCAAGGAGATTTAACCCAAAGAAGACATTTAATAATTAAACTCTCAAAGATCTATGATAAAGAAAGTATCCTAAAAGCAAGAGAAAATAAACAAATAACATAGGAAGGAACTTCAATACATCTGGCAGCAGACTTTTAGTGGAAAACTTACAGGCCAGGAAACACTGGCATGATGTATTTAAAGTGCTGAAGGAAAAAAACCCCACTTTTATCCTAGAATTATAGATCCAGTGAAAATATCCTTCAAATATAAAGAAGAAATAAAGACGTTCCCAGACCAAAAAAGCTGAGGGATTTCATCAACACCAGACCTGTCCTACAAAAAATGCTAAAGGGAGTTTTTTAATCTGAAAAAATGAAGACATTAATGAGCAGTAAGAAATCATCTGAAGGTGTAAAACTCAGTGGCAATAGTTACACAGAATATTATAACTGTAATTGTGGTTCATAAACTACTTATATCCTGAGTAGAAAGACTAAAATATGCCCATCAGTTTGGGAGGCCGAGGCAGGTGGATCATGAGGTCAGGAGTTCAAGAACAACCTGATCAACATGCTGACACCCCGTCTCTACTAAAAATACAAAAATTAACCCAGGATGGTGCCATGCACCTGTAATGCTAGCTACTCAGGAGGCTGAGGCAGGAGAATCTCTTCAACCCGAGAGGCAAAGGTTGCAGTGAGTCGAGATCACGCCACTGGACTCCAGCCTGGGCGATAGAGCGAGACTTCATCTCAAAAAAAAAAAAAAAGACTAAAATATGAAAAGATCAAAAATAATAGCTACAACAACTTTTCAAGACATAGGCAATACAATAAAATATAAATAGAAACAACAAAAAGTTCAAAAGTGGGGATAAGAAGTTTAAGTGTAGAGTTTTATTAGTTTTCTCTTTGCTTGTTTGTTTATGCAATTAATCTTTAGTTGTCATCCATTTAAAATAATGGGTTATAAGATATTATTCAGAAGCCTCCTGGGAACCTAAAAAAAATACGACAGACACACACACACACACACACACACACACACACAAGAAATTAAAACATATTACCAGAGAAAACTACCTTCACTAAAAGGAAGACAGGAAGAAAGGAAAGAAAGAAGTCTACAAAACAACTGGAAAACAAATAACAAAATGGTAGGATTAAGTCTTTACTTATAAATAAGAACATTGAATATAAAAAAACTAAACACTCTAATCAAAAAACACAGAGTGGCTGAATGGATAGAAAAACAAGACCCAGTGATCTGTGACCTACAAGAAATACACTTCATCTATAAAGACTGAAAAAAAAAGATGAAAAAAAGACTAAAAAAAGGGATGGAAAAGATATTCCATGCAGTGGAAACCAAAACAGAGCAGGAGTAGCTTTGCTTTATCAGACAAAATAGATTTCAAGACAAAAACTGTAAAAAGAGGCCAACAATAAGGTCATTATATCATGATAAAGGGGTAAGTTCAGCAAGAGGATAAAACAATTCTCTCTCTCTATATATATACACACACACACTATATATATACACACACTATATATATATATAATTGTATATATATACACTATACACACACACACACACACACACACACACATATATATATGTATATATATATGTGACACTGGAGGACACTGGAGGACCCAAATATATAAAGCAAATATTATTAAGGCTAAAGAGAGACCCCAATACAGTAGTAGCTGGAGACTTCAATACCCAACTTTCAGCATTGGACAGATCATCCAGACAGAAAATCAACAAAAAAGCATTAGACTTAATCTGCACTATAGAACAAGATGACCTAGCAGATATATACAGAACAATTTATTCAATGGCTGCAGGATATACATTTTTTCCTCAGCACATGGATTATTCTCAAAGATACCCTATATTTTAGCTCACAAAAAAGTCTTAAAAAATAAAAAAAAGAAATTATATCAGGTATTTTCTCTAGCCACAATGGAATAAAACTAAAAATCAGTATCAAGAGAAATTGTATTAACTATAAAAACACATGGAAATTAAACAGTATGCTCCTGAATGACCAGTGGGTCAATGAAAAAATTAAGAAGGAAATTAAAACATTTTTTTCAAACAAATGATAATGGAAACAGAACATACCAAAATTTATGGGATATAGTGAAAGCAGCGCTAAGAGGAAAGTTTATAGCTATACACATCTATATCAAGAAAGCCAAAAACCTCAAATGAACAACCTAACAATACATCTTAAAAAACTAGAAAATCAAGACAGCAAACCAAATTGAAAATTAGAAGAAAAGAAATAATAAAGATTAGAGAAAAATAAATAAAACTGAAATGAAAAATAATAAATCAGAGCAGAAATAAATGAAACTGAAATGAAAAAAATTCAAAAGATCAACAAAATGAAAAGTTGATTTGTTAAAAAGATAAAGTAGACAAACCTTGAGCCAGACTATTAAAAAAAGAGAGAAGACCCAAATAAATAAAAGCAGAAATGAAAAAGAAAAAATTTCAACAAATACCACAGAAATTTGCAGGATCATTAGAAGCTACTATAAGCAACTATATGCCAATAAATTGGAAAATCCAGAAGAAATGGATAAATGCCTAGACACATACAATCTACCAAGATTGAATCATAAGGAAATCCAAAACCTGAACAGACCAAGAACAAGTAATTAAATTGAAGCCATAATAAAATGTGCAAAGAAAAGCCTACAACCCAATGGCAGCACTGCCAAATTTTACCAAACATTTGAAGAACTAATATCAATATTACTCAAACTATTTTGAAAAAATAGAGCAGGAGGGAATACTTTCAAACACATCTACAAGGCCAGTATTACCCAGATACCAAAACCAGACAAAGATATATCAAAAAAAGAAAACTTCCAGCCAATATTTCTGATGAATATGGATGGAAAAATCCTCAACAAAATACTAAAACAAATTCAACAACACATTAAAAAGATCACTAATCATCACCAAGTGGAATTGATCCCAGGGATGCAAAGATGGAGCAACATAGGCAAATCAATGAATGTGATACATCATATCAACAGAATGAAGAACAAAAATCTATATGATCATTTCAATCGATGCTGAAAATGCATTTGATAATATTCAACATCCCTTCATGATTAAAAAAAAACCCTAAAAAAACTGGAGGTGGAAGCAACATACCTTAACATAATAAAGGCCATATATGACAGACCCACAGTTAGTATCACATAGATTGGGGAAAAACTAAAAGCCTTTCCTGTAAGATTTGGAACATGACAAGGATGGTCACTGGCACCACTGTTATTCAACGTATTACTGGAAAGGCTAGCTGGAGCAATCAGACAACAGCAAGAAGTAAAGGGCATCTAAATGGGATAGAAAGAAATCAGATTATCCTTACTTGCAGATGATGTGATCTTATATTTGAAAAAACCTAAAGGAAAACTATTAGAACTAATAGATTCAGTAAAGTTTCAGAATACAAGATCAACATACAAAAATCAGTAGCATTTCTATATGCCAAAAGTGAACAATATGAGAAAGGAGTCAAGAAATTAATCTCATTTATAATAGCTACAAATAAAATATCTAGGAATTACCTTAACCAAAGGAGTGAAAGATCTCTGCAATGAAAACTATAAAACACTGATGTAAGAAATTGAAGACACACAAAAAAATGGAAAGGCATTCCAAGTTCTTGGATTGGAAGAATCAATATTGTTAAAATGTCCATTCTAGTGGAAACAATCTACAAGTTCAATGCAGTCCCTATCAAAATACCGATGACTTTCTTCACAAAATAGAAAAAATAATTCTAAAATTTATATGGAATCACAAAAGACCTAGAATAGCCAAAGCTATCCTAAGCAAAAAGAACACTACTGAAGGAATCACATTACCTGACTTCAAAGTATACAGCAGAGGTGTAGTAACCGAAATGGCATGGTACTGACATACAAACAGACACAGAGATCAGAAGAACGGAAGAGAGAACACAGAAATAAATTCACACATCTAGAATAGACTCATTTTTGACAAAGGTGCCAAGAACATACATTATGGAAAGGAAAGTCTCTTCAATAAATGTTGCTGGTAAAACTGGATATCCATACGCATAAGAACGAAACTAGACCCCTATCTCTCCCCATACAAAAATCAAATAAAAATGAATTAAAGACTTAAATCTAAGAACTGAAACTGAAACTACTAAAGGGAAACCTTGGAGAAATTCTCTAGACATTGTAATGGGCAAAAATTTCTTGAGTAATATCCACAAGCAAAGGCAACCAAAGCAAAAGGGGATAAACGGGATCACAACTAACTAAAAAGCTTCAGCACAGCAAAGGAAACAAAAAAAGGTGAAGAGACAACCCACAGAATGGAAGAAAATATTTGCAAACTATGCATCTGACAAGAGATTAATAATCAGAATATATAAGAAGTTCAAACAACTTTATGGAAAAAATCTAATAATCTGATTTAAAAACAGACAAAAGATCTGAATAGACATTTCTCAAAAAAAAAACATACAAATGGCAAACAGGCATATGAAAAGGTACTCAACATCATTGGTCATCAGGAAAATGCAAATCAAAGCTACAAAGAGTTATCATCTCAGTTCAGTTAAAATGACTTTTATCTAAAAAACAGGAAATAACAAATACTGGTGAGGATGTGGAGAAAAGAGAACCCTCATACAGTATTGGTGGGAGTGTAAACTAGTACAATCACTGTGGAGAACAGTTTGGAAGTTCCTAAGAAAAAATGGAGCTAAAAATAGAGCTACCATATGATCCAGCAATCTCACAGCTAGGTATATATCCCAAAGAATAGAAATCAGTTTATAGGAGAGATATCTGCACTTCTATGTTTATTGCAGCACCATTCACTCTAGTCAATATTTGGAAGCAACCTAAGTGTCCATCAGCAGATGAATGGATAACAAAAATGTGGTGCACATACACAATGGAGTACTATTCAGCCGTAAAAGAAAATGAGATCCTGTCATTTGCAACAACATGGATGGAACTGGAGGACATTAAGTTAAGTGAAATAGGCCAGGCACAGAAAGACAAACTTCTCATATTCTCACTTATTTGTGAAAACTAAAAATTAAAACAATTGAACTCATGGAGATATATATAGAATTACGGTTACTAGAAGCTGGGAAGAGGAGTGGGAATGATTAGTGAGTACAAAAATAGAATGAATAAAATTTAGTATTATGATAGCATAACAGGGTACCTATAATCGACAATAATTTATTATGTATTAAAAATAACTATAAGTATAATTGGATTGTTTGTATCGCAAAGAGAGAATAAATTCTTGAGGTCATGAATGCCCCATTTACCCTGATGTTATTATTACACATTGTATGCTTGTATCAAAATATCTCATGTAACCCATAGATATATACACCTATGTACCCACAAAAATTAAAATCTAAAAAAAATTGTATACTAATTGTGAAAAGAATATTCAAAATCTACTCTCTTAGCATGATGAGGATATTCAAAATCTACTCTCTTAGCTTACAATTGTATTTGAATATTCTCATCACACACACACACACACACACACACACACACACAAGAAGGTAACTATGTGAGGTGATGGTTATGTTAGCGTGATTGTGGTAATCATTTCACAACATATACATATATTTAAACATCACATTGTACACTTTAAACATATACAGTTTTTCTCAATTAAACCCCACTAAAGCTGAAAAAAGATGACGATGTTGACGACAATATATTGGTCTTCTGTATATATAGCAGAATTTTAGAATGCGTATCTTTCCTGTTTTTTTAATTTCTTTCAATTTAAAGGCAATAATTCAATTTTTGATGGATCAGCTATCCTTAGAAGAGTGAATTGTCAGGACTTTGTTAGGATCCAAATCCACTCAACTTATCTAAATCCCCTCAAACACAAGTAGCCTTAGGAAAACCTAAAGTTTGAGCTAATTGGGTTGTATTGTATATAAGAAATTCAGATGAGGTATTGAAAACAAGATTTTAGAGTTTACAGAGGATACTAAAACTAGAGGCTGAGCAAATAACGAGGAACAAAACAATCAGACTCAAAAGGATTTGGATTGTATAAGTAATTGGATCAGCAGATGGCAAATGCAGTTCAGTACAGGAAAATGTAAAATAGACTTGAAGCGAAAGAAACAAACTAGAGAATATGTGCTAAATGAAATAATCATCCAGAATGCTGACCAGGAAATGGAAAGGAGGGGCTATTATAAAACATAAATCATAGCAACTCCTAGCTTATGGCTAATTCTGTTGTTTTAGAATCCTAACAAAAAAAATGTGCACACATATCATCTTTACTGGGAACTTACTGTTCCCTATGGGAACTAGCAGTTGCTTCAAATTGCAATCATTTCACTCAGTTTTGTAGAGGCACCTTTCAAAATTTTTTTAAGGTGTTACTTTTTTGAGTGCAGATTTTTCTCCTCTTTGTTTAAGCTTATGCTCATTATTATATAATTAACCTTTTCAGACATTGCTGGGAAAATTCAGAACAATGTTTTCAGGATATTTTACTAATTACCCTATAATTCACCTTGTCAGACAATCCCCAGGAGGATCCACACAAGGCTATCACTCCCCATTTGTCCTATTCTCTGAAGATATAGTATACATTTTGCAAGGGTGGGAGATCAACTGTTTGGTGAGGCAAAGCTATAGGCAGTGGATTAAAAATGTGTGTGTGTGTGAGTGTGTGTGTGTGTGTGTGTGTGTGCGCGCTTAAGAATTACCTGGGCAGGTACTTTTAAAATGGAATTACTTAGATGCCTTCTCCAGAGGTTGACACGGTACAACTGAGAAGGGGCCTCGCAAGTGGCATCCCTAATAAGCACCCTTGATGATTCTGATGTAGGCCATCTTTGGGAGACATTTTGAAAAATACCAAGTAGCTAGCAAGAAAAAAGCAGAAAGAACACCAAGTCCTAGTCCCTGCTCATCTAACTGGCTGATTAATTCGTTAACAGTCACACCACTCAGGCCTCATGTTCTTCATCTGGAAAATGAGTTCAGTATCTGTCCATCATACCTGACAGAGGAGCAAATGAAATAACATCTAGAATCTTCTTGCATACAAATATAAATGAAGGTAAAATGCTTGCCAAAATATAACATGTACTATTCTGATCCCATAATAAAATGCTTTTAAGTGGATGATTGAGGCAGCCACCTACACCCAGCCGGAGTCAGATTTTCCTTTTCATCTATTGCCACAGGAATTCTCACCCATAGTTGATCTCTGCAACCAAATAGGTACTGAAAGTAGTAGGTGTTTTCCTTTGTGTATTTTTAAAAAGTGCTAAGAGAAGGTCACTAACTGTGTCCCCATGTTTTTGTTACTCTCAGGGAGCAACGTTTTGAATAGCAGTCTTCAGTGTTTAGATCCAGTTGCGTACCCTATGGTCACCGATACTCAACTCCAGCTTTTGTTGTTGAGAATGAAAATGACTTCCACTAGCCTGACAAGCACATAATAATCACCCTTTCATCACCTACTACTGAGGTCTCTTTCTCATCTGCAGAAAGTAAAACTGAAGTCTGTTTACAAATCATAACTGAGCCCATTGAGTAAAATATCCTGTGAAATCAATTGATCGTGAGGATATGTGAAAATTTCCATAGTTTGCCTCTTATTGAAATTCTGTATTAGCCAGGCAGTCTTATCTGGAGTGTGACAGTTAGTTCAATTAAAGAATAATAAGTCCAAAAATGATATGAGTCAACTAAACAGAGGCATCCAGACATTGTGCTCTGGGCTGAGATTTACTATAAATATGGGAAGAGTGTATGCACTGCACAGCTTTTTTTTGGACTGATCTTATTTGATAAGCTTCTCTTTGGAACAGTCTGTGAAGATGGCTACCATGTAATTAGCTAAGCAATAAGTTAGGTGTTTAAAAATATTTTTTCAGGTGCTTTTTTGTATTCATGATAGATTCTCAACACCAAAAATCAATCTCAATCAAAGCGGCAACTGAGTTTATCATAAATTATCATGAAAAGGTTTTCTACTGAGTAGATGGTTAATTACTATCTAATTTGAATAATTTTGCATATTAATGAGGAATGAATGAAAATCATTTTTAGACTTTTAACTTCAGCTGAGAAACCCATGGAGATAATGGCTCCTTTTTAAGAGGTATGTGATCTCTGTTACCAAAGAAGATACTTTTTAAAAAAAAATTACTGACTTCGGTTGATTAATGGATTAGTGTTTTCCCATTAATAAACTATATCCAAATGAAAGACAACTTCATTATTTGACTCTGTAGCCCCTAGCTGCCTGCCAGGTAAGAAAAATGGAAAATAGATGAAGAATGTGCTAAGGAAAAATATAACCTTGCTCAGTCCTTCAAAATTTCTGGATACAGACATTTGTATGTTACTGATTGTGAATGAATTTTTATAACTTGTATATTTTTGTCACATGAAGCTCTATGTATACTTGTTTACACATGATATTTAGATTTAGAATGTACATATTGAGCTGAAAATAAGGGTATACTCTTAAAACTATTACTGTATTCTCCAATTTGAAAAAGTGACTGACAATTGCCTCAGGACTCAGAAATTATTGCCAGCCAGAAATCGAAAGTCACTTTTATAAAGTATCATGAAAACTTTCTTAGCATTGCAAACAAAGAATAACACTTTTTATACTTTTTAAGAGAAATATTGTTTATATTTCTTATAAAACATTATAAAATATATTTCCATTTAGGAAAAATAAGGAACAAACTACTTATCTCCCTCCAGTTTTCTTTTACCTTTATCTTTTATTTCATACTCAAAACTTCCCTATTTGATACTTACTTTTAGGCTATCTTTTTTTCCCCTCTTTGGGCAGAGTCTGCCATTATCCAATGATTCCATGCATTCAGTGGACTCTATACAGGATTTATTGCAGAATAATGCAGAACAGTCTTGATGAATTAAATTGGACAAGTATTTTTATACTTTGCAAACCAAAAACTTTAACCAAGATGGTCAATAGAACAAGATATTAATTCTTACAGCCCACATTCAACTTTTAAAATTGGATATTTTAGTCATGCCAATACCAGACCAGACAAGCATTGAGTTTAAAAATCTTCAGATACATAGAAATGTTCTTAAGATCAGCATTAATCAGCATTGTATTTTATCAAGAAGGATCAGGATTAGACTGGGCTCATGGAATTTCAATTGAGCACACAGATTTCAGAGCATGATTATAAAGTTCAATAGATGCCTTTGGATTACTTAACTCAATAGAAGAGTAAAAAGTAGAAGTGAGTTTTCTTTCTGGGTCTAGAGAACATGTCTTTTATATTACTAAAAACTCCAACAACACAAGCTCAATAATATCTGAAAAAGGAACTGCTTAGATGGGTGCTTTCACAATCAGTCCCAGACTTGTCCCACTCACTATTCATTTACCATCATGGTCAGTACCTTCCTGGCCAGAAAGTGAAGAAGATTTTACCAATATAAGGGTGATAGACTCTAAAAGTGGCATTGACAATACATCTGAAGAAAAGTCTGGAAAAGAGGCAAGCCATTTTAAAAAGAACTAAAAACCTTGATGTTTCCAATTGAGCCATATGCCAGGGTAACTCTCAGGATAAGAAATGAACTATATTTTATATGCACAAAGTAGGATTTTTCAAAAAAAATGAAATGAAAAGTGGCATTAGCATGAGCTGTCCACTCCCCCTCTCCTCCTTCTGGTCTCTTCCAGTCTCTTTTGCCAAAGAACTGAGAATGAATTTTTGAGAGCCAAGGATATGGAAAGGAAGACAAAATAAAGCTGGGAGAATTTTGGCGGAATTACATGCTTAACATACTGCACCATTTCTTTAATATATTTAAATAGTCCTGTGTCATCAGTTGGTGGCTTTTCTTTTCAACAATTTGCAATGTATTTTGTTTTTCCTTAATTAAGCTTCACATGCTGGAATTAATTACTGCTGGGTAGTTGAAATCTGGTGGTCTAATTTTCAACTTTAGTTAATAAAGCTCAAAGTCTACATTCACCTCTGAAATGATCAACCTTACCAAATTATATTTGTCCACTTTTACCTTCTAGATAATGAATATACAGGGCAGCTGCAAACTGTGATTGTAAAATAACAAGATTATTTTTCATGTGTGACTTGTAAATCCTCTCTCTTTATAAAGAAAACTTTATCATATGAAAGATCTTTATATTATAGGGATTGCATGTAAAACACAGGTTGCACATGTGTCTCCAAAGTATTCAAAGCCATCCCCTCTCTTAACCATTAAAGTAAAGCTATATCAACATTTCATTTGTCAAAAAAAAGTGAAAATTTTCTATATCATAAGCAGTTCAGTATGCTACCCTGGAAAAGTTTTAAAATATCTAGATACCATTACCCCAAACTAAATATTTTAAAGACTCTAAAAACTTTAGTCATAAATTGGTTGAAAGCAGGAAACCAGTCTACATCTAGATCTAGTATGACTAATTTTAGATAATAAAATACACATATACAATAAACTGCTCTCACATGCATAATGAGGTGTATTAGCAGGCATTATCATCTTTATTTTGCAGATGAATATATTAGGACTCAGAGATATTGAGATCTCAGGTCACTCTATGAAAGACTCGTCTTCAATTTGGGTCATCTGAATTTATAGCCTGACCTCCTTTTATTTATACCACAAGCACCCATTATAAAAGCAGAAAAGGAAGAACTGGAGGTAAGGGAGTAAAGGCTGATCAAGTGAGAGAGTGAGTAGGTCTAGTGCTAATTTCTTTACCTTTCTCTTTTCCTACATGTTGTTTCTTGTATTTCAACAAATTATCTCCCAGGTTGTTGGTATTCTTTCTCCAAGCCAGCTAGATACATGGATTATTAATCAACATTAAGGCATAAATGACTTCCTGACCAAATTTTAGCAAATTTTAGGGGATAATATCTGTTTCCCTAATTAGAACCTAATGATTCATCAGCTAGTAATCTAGAGATTGTACATTTGAAAATTTACATTGTGTATACTTGTTTCATGTACTCGTCACTTATTTAGGCTTCTAAAATAGTACTTTACATACGCTAGTTTATTTGATTCCCACAACAGCCTTATGAAGCAGATACTACTATGATCCTTATTCTACAAATGAGAAAACAGAAGGTAGAAGAACTTAAGTGACTTTCCAAAGAGTTGAAACTGGAATTTGAAATTACATCTGTCCAATTTCAGAGCCAGACAGTCACTCCACACTTCTGTAAATGGCTTTTCTCTACTCTGACTTAGTAAAACACATGGTCTAAGCTGTCTTATTTATGAGCTGCATCACTTTGGGCAAGATACTTAATTAGCTAAGCATTAGTTTCCTCCTCATTTGTCAGATAGGGCTAGTGATTACAAAGAGGTTTTTTAAAATTAAAAAAATTGAAAACCAATATCATACATGAAAAAAATTGTAGTGCTATTATTATTATTATTATCATTGGGCTTAAGGAGGGTGGGTCGATATAGTGAATATTCAAAACTTATAGGCTAACCTGAAGTTAAATGCAGTTGTTTATAGTTGAACCATAGTTGACTATGGTTCTTTAGGGGGTAGTCTTTTTTTTTTTTTTTCTCTGAGACGAAGTTTTGCTCTTGTTGCCAGGCTGGAGTGCAATGGCACGATCTCAGCTCACCGCAACCTCAGCCTCCCAGGTTCAAGCGATTCTCCTGCCTCAACTTCCTGAGTAGCTGGGATTACAGGTATGTGCCACCATGCTTGGCTAATTTTGTATTTTTAGTAGAGATGGGTTTTCTCCATGTTGGTCAGGCTGGTCTCGAACTCCTGACCTCAAGTGATCTGCCTGCCTCGACCTCCCAAAGTGCTGGGATTACAGGTTTGAGCCACCGCGCCCGCCCTTGGTGGGTATTCTTAAGATTGAAACATTTGTGGAGGTATTTATTTCTCCATCTAATGGGAGGCTTGTGCAGCAGTCCCCAGCCTTTTGGCACCAGGGACCAATTTCATGGAAGACAATTCCACGAAACTGGCATGGGGAGTGGTGGTTTTGGGATGAAACTGTTTCACCTCATCAGGCATTAGATTCTCATAAGGAGCGTGCAACCTAGATCCCACACATGCACAGTTCACAAGCAGGGTTTGTGGTCCTATGACAATCTAATGTCTCTGCTGGGCTGACTGGAGGCGGAGCTCAGGCTGTAATGCTGGCTTGCCCACCACTCACTTCTTGCTGTGTTTCCTGGTTCCTAACAGGCCACAAACCGGTACTGGTCTGCAGCCCAGCGGGTTGGGGACCCCTGATGTAAGATCTGTCAATGCAGCTTGAGCCTTTTATGACAAATACAGCTTATCGCAGATAACTGTTTATAGTAAGGTTTCAGTTAGAAACTGGAATTTCCTCTTGTTCATGAAGATTTCTAGTCATCATTGTTCCATCTTCTGCTTTGGTAGGGAAGTGGAGTTGGGTACAGTGGAAATCTTTCAGCTGCATTTTTCCCCATATTATTTTAACATCCTAGGGAGCACATATGTATATAATTATTGTATCTTTATTTTTTTAATCCATTCACCTGATTTCTTTAAATATGTGATGGTAGAACATGCTGATAAAACTTGCCACTTTGAAGTCAAATCTCATTATATAATTCTGGGCCTGATCTTCAAAAATAAAATAATAGAATTATTACTTTATAGTTGTTAGGTTATAAATGCTTTCATGTTTGCAAAATGTTTTTAGATTTATGTAGAATCATGTGTAGTTCACTATTGTAAAGTTTTATGATAACCAGAACTCACATTAATGTCTTTTGCTTAGTTTTCAATACATTTTCAACTAGAACATGTATTTAGTCTTTTTGGTTTTGAGGTAACTATTCCTATTCGGAGATAGAACTTTTAAAGAACTATGATTTTATTTTGCTATTTCTAATTTTGTCCTTTTTAGGTAAATATATATTATGTACATTTCATTTTACAGTGCACTTATTTAATATAAATAGTTCTGTAAACTTGTATTTTTTGTGTGAGGATCTTGAAATCAAAATAATCAACAGTAAACATCACAACTACAGCTGCAGCTTCAAATATTTTATAATCCAATCAAATTGTTTGAGTAGTAATGTATTTAAATGTTGTTATGGAATCCCCTCCAGACTTTTTAAAATGGTTACTCTGTTCCTGGGTTTGCTATTTATGAAATTCATAAAGGATGACATATTTTAATAATAGAGAATTTGACTTGGAGAGCAATGTTTCTTTTTATGTCTCAATAAAATCTAAAATTTTCTGGCTTAACTTTCAGAGGGACACAACCACAAATTATTCTTTTATTAGTGAATGTATATACATCTGTTGTTGCTGCTGTAATTAGAGTGACCTTAAATGAGAAGTCTTACCTGAGTTGTTTAACACCTTTTCGGATATTTGGATGAAGAAGAAGTTTTACCTAAGGAGATGAGGCACCAGGATGATACTAGGTGTGAAAAATACCTTTACAAAAGACTCATAGCAGAGGTCGTCATCTATAATTAAGTATAATGTAATATTTCAGGCCTTACCTAAGCCCTGATGTAGTTTAAATTATTTTTAAATTGTATAGGTTAAAAAAATGAATCGGGATAGAGTTATATTATTAGTCCTACAGAGCTGATATTAACTAAGGTTTTACTGTGTGCTATGTCCTAGGCTAAAACACTTTATACAATTCATGTAGTCATTTTATGAGATAATTTCCATTTTTTCTGATAAGGAACCTAAGTAAAAAAAAAAAAAAAGTAAGGTTAAGTGCCACAAATAGTAAACATTGGGATCTTGGCTATCTGACCTCAGAGCCTCATGTTTATTAGAAATTAATACAGATGTATTTAATTGTGCACATATATTTAATTGACTAATGGACAGAGGATCCTAATTTCAGAAGTAGATATTCTTGAAGTTTCAAAACATTAATATTCTATAAAATAAATTTTTTGTTTGAAAAGTTGACGTTTTTTCTCTTTAATGTATTAAGCAATTTTGTGTTTGACTTAAGAATTAGACAAGTAAATTGGCATTATTTTTGTTGGCATTTATATAGGCAAGCTAATAACTTATTGTGGTTACATTTTAACATGACTTATTCAATTAAGGCTTTATTAAATACTTACATATAAATATTATTAAGCCCCATTAAAAAGTACTTCAAACTGAAATATGATATAGAAACAGTATTTTTTTAAATGCTACAGTTTGGCATGAAAAAAATCCAATTTGGTATCCTAATATTCCATATGTCTCTGCAGTATTAAAACATGCAAAGAGTATGTATAATTTGTGAAAATATCCTAATATTATTATAAACATATATTGAACAAAACAATGAAGATCATAGTAAAGTTGCAGTGAAAAGTGCATCTAAAGTTTTAGAAATATTTGGGTGCAATATAATATCACATATAAGAGCAAAATTTAAAGTCAGGGAGATATCTAGCTAGGCCACAAAACTGCCCTCCTTATTCAACTTTATTCCTCTGTAATTTAGTTGGCAGATAAATTTCTCCTGAAAACAGAAAAAGGAGATTTAGATACATTGGCCCATTCCTATCAAATAAAAAAAATTGCTAATAATCTTTTGATGAGGAAATATTTGGAAAACTACTTTTTTAGCACTTATTATGTAGGAAGTAATTTAAAAAGCACTTTTATAGACAGTCATTTAACCTTTACGTAATCCCTATAAAATACCTATTACCAACTAGGTAAGTCTTTAAAACTCATGAGTTTCCATGACTTGCGTAATGTAAAATAACTAGAAATAAATTGGTAGGGCCAAGATTGAATCCCAGGCCTCATGCTCTAAATCCAGTGTGTTCTGGCCTCTCATGATCTTAGAATGTCCATGTTTCAGTCTGTTCAGGCTGCTATAACAAAAATATCATAGACCGTATGGTTTAAACAACAAGCATTTGTTTTTCACAGTCCTGCTGGCTGAGAATCTCAGATGCAGGTTCCAGCAGATTCAGTGTCTGAGGAGGCCCACTTCCTGGTTCATAGACAGCTTGTCTTCTTGCTGTGTCCTCACATGGTGGAAAGAGTGAGGGATCTTTCTGGGATCTTTTTAATAAGAGCACTAATTCCATTCAAGAGGGCTTCACCATCATGTCCCAAAGTCCCCACCTTCTAATACCGTCACATTAGGGGTAAGGGTTTTAATATATGAATCTCGGGATACAAATATTTAGTCCATAACAGCCCATAAGGGTAAATGCATTCCTTTCCTGTTCTAAGCAATTTGTATGAGTTAATTCTTTCTTTCCTTTGAATTTCCCAGCATACCAGAAGCTATTTGGCTGCCAGAAAATAGTCTTGTAACAAAAGCGGTTGCTCTTTAGTCAAATTACAAATATCCAACTAAACCATAAGAAACTCTTTATACAAAATTTCTTGGTGTCATCAAATATGTCCTTCCCAGCTCTTTTCTGATTTCCTCTCTGTTTCTGAGCTGGGTTTTGCCTCTGAGCTTATGAGCTGCTCTTCTCCCTTATATTTGTGCTCCTCCCTGTTTTGGTTAATTACTTCACTCTATCTTCAAGTTTTAGTCTTTTGTATGAAAAAAAAAACTTCTTCCTGAAAGCTGGACTTGCTTATCCCTCTGATGAACTCCAACCCAAACTTTGAGTGTTTTCATGCAGTAATGTGTCCCTTGGACACTCTTGGACTCCACCAGCCATGTCATCACTCAAAGTATGAACCCAGATGTCTGAATTAATTAGATAAGACACATGGCTTGTTCACTTGTAGATCTATACCAAAATTGCAGGATTTTTCCATGCAAAACCTAAACTAGCTCTTTTGCTAATTTCATCCATAATTCTTTATACAACTGAGAAGTTAGAATCTAGCTGAAAATTTGAAACTATTTGCTGTGCATTTATATCAGTTAATACTAGGCATTAATAAAAGATACCTGCATTGTCTTCTTTTCATTTTGTATTGTAAATCCAGCCCTTTTATGGGGTCTAGTAAGATTTGTGTTTTAATGTGCTCCTATATTTAGCAAATATTTACTAAAGGCCTATTATGTGCTAAGCACTCTTCTAGGAGAGCAGGTTATCTCTTATAACTCATTATATTCCCAGTGAATAGCATTAAGTCTTATACATAATGTATCAATTGACAAGCCCTGCTGTTTTGCTAGGTCCTAAAAAGTACAACAGTAACATTCCTGATTTTTTTCTTGGAAATCAGATTTCAGTCTGGTTTGGTCTGATTTTCAGATTTCAGTCCATTTGTCGGTAATTAAATGTTCACGGAATCCCCAATTATATCCATAAATGTATGTGATTATCACTGTAAACTATCCAGGCTCCATTGATGCACATGAATTATGCTAATGCCTTCAAGTTTATCTAGTTCTTTTATATGTCATTTTCCCTCTTTCCAGTACTTACCTCTTTGAATGAATCAGGGCAACCTTAAGAGAGAAAAACAAAGGTGGAAGTCCACTTAATAGTTACAAAGTAGATTCCTTTTGTGGGGCCAAGCAACTCCTTACAATGGGTGTGGGTTGGTCAGAGCTGGTTTCTGCGACCATCAGAACGCATCAGCACTGTCTGTGTTATCTATATTGTGGGATTTCTCAAGGCTTTCAATATGCCAATGTTAACTGTGACTCTCCAAAAAGGGTGTAGTGTTTCCCAAATGTATTTAACCATGGAACTTAACTCTTATTTTCTTTTGTCAGAGCATCTCTCAGAACAAGTCTCTAGGGACATATAGCTTGGGAAACTCTGAAACACAGAGTCACAAAAAGCATAATGTTTATAATCTAGAATATCTCTGAGGATCTTAATCCAAACTATGTTGCTAATATTACCATGAAGTAACTGGTGAGAGTAATGAGATGTAATGATTTTCATATTTTGCCGATGAGGAAACTGAGATGTAGAAAATTCAAGCAGATTTCCCATGATTGCTCCGTTGAGAAATGTTTAAAAAAAAAAAAAAGACCCAAAAAACCCTAGAGAACTCAAGTCTGTCTGACCCAATCTTAAAATCATTCCCCAATACTGTTTATTGCTCACTGGTTCTAACTGGGCATTTGGGCCTAGTCTGCAAACTCTGTGTTCCTGGGCCATAGCAGACTTAAAACCAAATCTCTGAGTTTTAATCTCAACATTGGTTAGTCCTTTAGGTGTAAGAGGATGACATCTAGTGAGAGCTTTTCTAAGGGATTAATTCACAGTATTTTATCCTTTTCTGTAGTATTGGCTTTGGAACTTATGTTGGGGGCAGGGATCAACCATCACCACTACCATAGCCACCAGTTTTTATTAAGCAGTAATTATGTGTTGGGTTGGGTAACAAACATTTGAAAATGTATACTTTATCTCCTTTAATCTTTCCCTCAGTCCTATAAGGTTGGCAACATTATAAAGAAACACATTCAGATAAACAAATGATAAAAAAGTCAAATATTTAGTAAATAGAGAAGCCGGGGATTAAATCCAGATCTGATTGATGGCAAATATTACAGGCTTGTCATGATCCATTTTGTCTTCAGAATCTACAGAGATAAACCCTGTATGAATTTCTCTTGGGGTCATGAAGAGACTGGGGTATGAAAGTGTCACACATTTCCTGTCTTCACAAGTTTACTTATTTTCAAAGCTGAGCGTTGTGTTTTATTGTCATAATCCAGGGAAGAGTACAATAGGGGAGTCAGCATCTCAGCCATTCTGATAGAATGCACCTTGACTTTGTTGAACTCCAGAGCTGACCTTCCCAGTGTTGAAAATCTGCATGGAGAAAGGGATTTATCTGGAGCTGTTACAGCTCTGGCATTTAGGCAGCCATGTAGGAATAGCTAGCTACGTGTTTTGTAGAAAATAGATCAACGATGGGGCCCCCATGGGAATGTTTTTTTTTTTTTTCCTCTATCTTCATTCATGGTTTTAAGTAGTATGGGTTTATTTTACCTATCAGGCTAATTACAAGTGATTTACCATTTTAATCTGGAATAAAAGATTTTATTTTTTATAAATTGACTATGTGGATGAAACATTTTTCTTCTTATTCCTAAAATACCTGTTATTATGGCTTATAGGATCAATAATTTTTACATTTCACAAAGCTTCTAAGAATATCTGAACATAGAAAATGGCAAGAAAAGGATAGAGGTTCAAATGAAACTGTTCAGCAGGTCAATAATTTAACGCTTTCAGAAAGTATGCAATATCAATTCTTGACAGATCTCTAAGACAGATTTCTTCATTAAAAATCTATTAAGAGTTAGAAGGAATTTATTAAACAAATTATTAATATTTCAGGCATTGCTAAATAGCAAATTAAAGCAAAGCAAAAATAGCATAGGAAAAATATATTTCATGATTAAAAATGAATTTCTTCTTGACAGCGAGTTTTACCAAAGGATAATTATTTCTCAAATATTTCAGTTTGGAATTTTAATCTTTGTTTGTTTTTGCATCCTGAGCTACCTAGTAGTCTGTGGTTTTATCCAGTACTATATCAGTTTATATGTTTTCTCCTTTTGAGAACTAAAAAAAAAACACACACACACACATACACTCAGGCTGAATATTTCTCCTGGATCTTTTTCTTTACAAGTGTAAATCATCACTTATGATAGTGAAAGAGTGCAGTACTTAATCTCCATAGTGATGCTATGACCCTGATGATCTTCAGTTTACTCTTGGTATTTCAGTTTATAATAATAGGTGGGTGGTTTATATTTGTAACTAATAAAATGCTTCCTAAAATATTGGACTGGTGATAGTTTTAAGGTTTATGATATTTTTACTTTATACAAAGTCAAATGAGTTCAGTTATGTTAGAAGGTAAACTGAGGCATAATAAAATGTTAGAGAGCTTATTTGAGCACTCACTTGAGAATCAGGAAGCTCCAAACCAAAAGCAGTTCATGAGCTCCACTGAGGGAATGCAAAGGGGAGGCTTTTACAGAACAGACACAGAAATAAAGCAAGCACAATATTTGATTGGTTATAGTTATACAGTTGCCTTATTTGGTATATCCTATTGGAACGTCCCTAATTATATTAATAATTTTCTAAGGTTTTGGCTACTTTTGATTGGTTGAGCTTAAGTTTTGTTTTCTTTCTAATATAGGCATTTACAAGAAATCACCCCAAGTTAAGTTTCACTTCTGTTTGCAAACCCAGCAACCCTTAGGTCACTAATGAGGTCTACTCGTTTTAGCTGCTCAGGGATTCTTCAGGCCTGGTCTTCATTTTAATTTAACAGGTAACAAACTTCAAGATATGGCCTCATTAAAAACTACTTTGAAAAACTATTCTTCAAATCTGGTCAAATATTTGGTTCAATTAACTAAAAACCTGTCACACACAGTTTAGAAAACACTTAGTAATTAGTAAAATATGGTAGTGTGGATGCCTCAAAAAGGTTTATTAAGAGCCAGTCATTTAACTTCAGACATTTTGGAGGATTGGTTATACATTCAGAAATGATGGAGCTCAAGTTTTTTTTTTAATGTTTTCATCCATCTATATATGCATGCATACACTCATCAAATACTTCTTCATCATGTTTTATGTTAAAACACTGCAAGATTCTTAGAGAGACACAGACAAAATTGTGACTATCCTTAAAAGATTTATAGATAAGTCCAGAGCATAAGTAGTCACAGCTGCCAATTTCAGAATTTTGTCAGATGTATAATTATAATATATCATAGAAAATAATGGGTGGCAAAAGCTGTGCAAATTGTAAGAGGCAAAGCAACATCTTTAAATCATACGTGATGTGTGGTCATCCTAATGAAAACTAGAAGAATCAACCCAAGATAAAACCACATACGATGTACAACTTTGTGCTCTGCTCCTCTAAGTTCTTTAACTCCTGACTATGCTTTTTGGTTTCTGATTTTGGATTCTTCCTTAGATTTGCCTTCCAGAAGTTCCTTGAAAATCTCTTGATCCCCTCTTGTGAATCCTTTTGGCCTTCATTCTCATATTCTCATAAACAGTCTAGCAGTCACCCACTGCTAGACTGTTTCTTAGAGCCTGTATTGATGAAATGATCTTCTGTACTTGGATTATCATGTTCTGACTTTGTTAGATCATCTTTGGCCCTGACTCCCTGTCACACCAGGCATAGCACAGAAAAAGAAATCGAGACATTCGCCAGGAGATGGAGAGATTACATTTACCTGAGTGTAGCAAGGAAGGCTTATTGGAAGCAGAGAGATTTGACTTGGCTCTTGAAGGATGAGAAGAATATGGATAGAGTCAGTGAGAAGCATCTTGTAGGATGAAGGAAATAGCATACTTTCCCCATGAGGACAATCAGAGAAGTAGGATTCTGGATGGAAGTTGTGAACTGAAGCGTGTGAATAGCCAGGGTTGGAGGGAGTTTAGGATGTTTGAAGTGGTTGTAGTTGCTCTGTTTGGAAATGCTAGTTGTTTATTTGAGCTGAGGGAGATTATGACAAAAAGCTTTTTGAAAACAATGAATCTGGCAGAGCATAGGGTGAGTTGGAGTTGAGAGATAGAAGACTATTGTGACAGTCATTGGAGATGTTCCAACATAGGCTAGTGACAACTTTGCAAATGTTAAGGGAGAATGAAGCATTAAACATGGAGTAGATGGAATTTTAAAGTCCCTTCCAGCCATAAGTTACAGAAGTAGAGTAGAATACTAGGCTATGAAGTCACATTGTCTAATTTGCATGCTGGTTCCACCACTACTGACTATCACCTTGGGTGAATTACTTAGTTCTAAAAGTCCTCAGCTGGGTGCAGTGGCTCACGCCTATAATCCCAGCACTTTGGGAGGCAGAGGCGGGAGGATCACGAGGTCAGGAGTTCAAGACCAGCCTGGTCAACATAGTGAAATCCCGTCTCTACTAAAAATACAAAAAAAAATTAGCCGCACGTGGTGGTGGGCACCTGTAGTCCCAGCTACTTGGGAGGCTGAGGCAGGATAATCGCTTGAACCTGGGAGGTGGAGGTTGCAGTGAGCCGAGATCGCGCCACTGCACTCCAGCCTGGGTGACACAGCAAGACTCTGTCTCAAAAAAATAAAAATAATAATAAAAAAAGTCCTCCATGGCTTTTCTCATCTGTAAAACAGGAAAACTTTTAGAATTTATTTCATCATATTTGTGTAAGATTTAAACAGTGTACATATGTGAAGCCCTTAGCATAAGACATCACACAGATAAGACCTCAATACATGTTTGCCTGCACTGTGCAGTTTATAGACATTGAGGTTTTAAACTGTGTTAATACAAAGGGGAGAAAATGGGCTAGGTGGAAAAAACAGCGCTGAGGTAAAATTCACAGGATTTGTAACTCATTAAATGCAGATCAAAGTGAGGCAGAGGACCAGGAGAAATTAACAAAAACTCAACATTGTAAGTAAGAGTGCTTAACTATGACGATTAGATTCCTTCTTTTCAAAATTAGAAAGGGAGGCCCCACCCCCATAATATTTTCCTTTTCTAATTGACATAGTTAAAACATATAACTTAAATTTATGAATTCAGAATACATTTTTTCGTGAACAGAATTGTTTATAAATTGCCTGCTTCTATTTTGGGGAAAAAATAAGGCATTTGACTTTTTCCCATCTGAGTAACAAATCTTAGACAAAAGTGATCTTCCCCACATTCCTATGGACACTGAACAAGCATTCAGTACTTAGTGCAACAGCATAGACTAGTGGTAGGAAGGAAGATTGTAATGAGGACGCCCAGACACTACTTTTTATCTTATCCAGGGCACATTTTAGTTTTAAGCTACACTTAGAACAAAATTATCTATAGCTGTAGTAACAGACTATTTGACAAAATAAAACTGGTTTAAGGTAATTTTAAGTACCTCGTGGCTTGTTTACTAATTACTAGAATCTTTGAGAAGTACTTATTTCTTTCTCTTTTGACTGCTGTAAGGAATAATCACATATTCAAATGTTTTTTAAAAAGTATTTCCTTTCCTTCAGTTGAAGACTTCAGCTATTTTAAATAAATTATGTCTCAAGAATATTAGTTTAATTTGTATCATGGGGGCTAATGGTATTAATTTTCCTGCATCAATTTTTTTTATCCAGATAGGTGCTATATATCAACACTTACGTACACTAGGAACACTATAGAGGCAAATAAAATTAATTCAGAATCAGATCCTGAATTTAGAATTGTATAATCAAACATGTATACAACTTATAGAATATGGAAAAATATGCTGTATTACCAATATGGACCAAAGAATAAATGCTGTATTACCAATATGGACAAAATAAATAAATGCTATATTACCAATCTAAAGAGCCATGGAAGCAGAGAGGATAGAGGGATTAAACTCCTTTGAGAAAAAAAAATCCTTGCAGGATTTTGTACTTAGGATATTGCCCAGCACAGACTGGACATTCAGTAAACATTTGCTTAATAAATGAATGATCTATAAATGATCTCCCAAATCTTTGGGGTTATAAACATAACCGTTGTTTTATGACTTCTCATGGATTCCTGTGGGTTGGAATTTGGGAATGGTCTGAGCTGGGTGGTCTTTCCTAGTGTTGTGGCCAGTTGTTTGCTACAGCTAGTGCTAGAGCTGGAGGATGGGAGGTCGAAGCAGCTGGAGGCTGCCATCATCTCTCACTCTTTGTGTAGCCTCATGGCCTCTCCATGCAGCTTCTTCTTTTGGGTGGGTTTAGTCTGCCTTACAGCATGGTGGCCTCAATGCAGTCAGACTTCTTGCAAGCTTTCAGGAACAAGTATTTTAGCCAACAAAGCAGAAGCTTCTTGGTCATTAATGACCTAGACACAAAAAGTCAATAACATCATTTCTGCCATACACTGTTAGTCAAAATAGTCACAAAGCCAGCCCATTTTTAAGGTAGGAAACACAGACCATTTCTTCATGGGAATAGTGTCCAAGTCACATTTAAGAAGGGTATGTGAGATGGAGGTATTGTTGTGACTGCCTGTGGAAAACAGAATCAGCAGAGTGATTTCAATGTTCATTTTTAAGCCACGTAATGAGTGTTTCTTACACCTTTTTGTCTTTTTTTTTTTTTAACAGAATATGTCATAAAACTCTAACAAAAATTTGGAAGTGGATTTGGAATCAGAAGTCAGAGTAGATTATTTATGAACTCTCCAATTTCTACCCAGTTTTGTGTAGTGTTTCTTTAAAATTTCTAACTTTTTTAATATGTAAAGTCTTGATTTAGGCTGTGTCTATGTGACTGTGTGCTAAACAACTGCAAATAAAACAACCTGTCTAATTAGGTCACTACCATGATAAAAAAAATTAATCTATCAAATTTACTGTTTGGCATGACATAATAAGAAAAACAACAAACCAGAGAAACAAACTGAAACAAAGAAAAACAAACACACATACACAATACCCCCAAGCAAATCAAGACAAACACTTATCTCATGTGTAATTTACTTAACTCTTCATTTGTCAACATGTTTCTTTGATATGGCATAGAACACAAAATCTTATTTGACAAATAATGTGTCTCAGATTTTAGCAAAATTTTTCATCAGAGTTACAACTCAATAGATTGTGTTTTACTTTGCATGCAAAGAATCTCTTAATTCCAAGAGCTTTATGACATACAGAAAAATATTTCAGGCCAATATGATACCAGTTGGTGCACCAGGCAGACTAAGATAACTTATCACCTCTGTTCCACTTTGGATATACCTATACCAAGAGACAGTAGAAACATCAAAAAGCCAACTACTAGAAACTGTAATACCTCTAATGACTAAAAGCATGGTAGTAATTGTCTTTTGTCCATCTGATCATGGAAGTCATTCAATGGAAAATGTGAAATAACAGATGTTTCAGCAATGTCCCCTGATTTCTAGATTTTGCAGCTCACAAGGGAAATGTCAAACACTACATGCATATTATTATTTTTTAATGAGAAAAGTGAACTCCGTGATACTCTTTGGAAAATAAAAAAAATCATTATTGAAAAAAACTTACTTTTAATATTTCCTTTTTTTTTTTTTTTTTTTTTTTTGAGACAGAGTCTTGCTGTGTTGCCCAGGCTGGAGTGCAGTGGTGCGATCTCACCTCACTGCAAGCTCCGCCTCCCGGGTTCACGCCATTCTCCTGCCTCAGCCTCCCAAGTAGCTGGTACTACAGGCGCCTGCGACCACGCCCGGCTAATTTTTTGTATTTTTAGTAGAGACGGGGTTTCGCCGCGTTAGCCAGGATGGTCTCCACTCCTGACCTCGTGATCCGCCCACCTCAGCCTCCCAAAGTGTTAGGATTACAGGCGTGAGCCACTGCACCCGGCCAATATTTCCTTTTTAAAAACTAAGTACCACACTTCAAACTTAAGGAGTTTTATATGCTATGATTTGATTCGAATTTTAGGATGGAGACACAGGCTGGAAAAATATTTTTCTCCAGGTTTACCTTCATTATTATAGATAAGGGTAAAGGAGCTTATTAAGAGAAATAATAGTCTGAAAGTAGCATCCGAATGTAGACGCAGCTTATAAATAAAATATAAAATTTTACTGAAGTAATTAGTAACATCTGTAGGATACACTAGTGTTTAAGGTAGTATACTGCTTGTGGCGTCTGAAGGTTGTTTGTTGCTGAGAAACTGGATGCTGATTTTATTTTCAAGAGGGTCTTTTGTTGTTATAAATACCTCATAGCATCACAAGAAGTAACAGCTCAGCATCTATCTCTTCTACCGCAAATACCATTTCAGTTCATTCATCTCCTTCGTGTGTTCTCAGCTGCTGGATTCAGACCTGGGGAAAAGTATTTTTCTCTTTTTTTGCCGTATTTCTTACTTTGTTTTAGTTACCTCAATAGCTCTCTCTTTTTGTTCTACTTTGGAAGGTATAGCCATTAAATAAGTTCACAATTTATATTTTCTGTCTGAGGCACAGAAAAGTTTCTCAGTATTTTCTTAAAGGCACACAGGTAACCTCCTCATTTATAAAATTCAGGCATAAAGCCTATAATGCTTAAAAACAAATATCTGGTTCCTTTCCCATGGTGGCTTCAACAACATTACTGTATATATATACATATATCTCCACACAATACTGGGTGGAAGGAATCGTGTAATATAGAATTATGATTAACATATTTGCTCTGGCTCATCTTCGGGTGCTCTGTCTTAATGCCGAATGCACATGGCGGGGTAATTTTTCTAGCCCTTCACCATTCCATTCCTCAACACATGACTAAGAAGGAACGTCTGAATATGCTGAGCACTCAACGAGCAGTTCTGCATGTTCCTTATTTGAAACAGAAGCTAGCTATGAAGAAAGCTGGATGAATCAGAGTATAAGTAAAGATTGGCTCCACTTGAGCTACCTGTACTGTGAGATATCTCTTAGTTCATACCAACAATATGGTCATATTTACCAGTTGCAATTTCTAAGGCATTCTCTCATTAAATTAGTGGTTGAGCAGGTGTAGCTAAAAATGCCTTCAATCACTTCTGTGTTATTTTGAGAGAGGAGTTTTGCAAGCCATTGAAATTTAATTTTAGAATCCCATTCAGTAAGCTGGAAAATAAAAGGATGGCAAACTGGAGTTTCTGGTTTTGCTTTTACATATGGTAACACAATTAAGGCTTTTATAACCAAAGGAAAGTGATAACTGCAGAAGAAAATTGTGACAATACTAACATTTAGTAAAGTGTTTGTATACATTGTTAAACTCATTTCCATAATTCTGGAAAGAAGAGGGGGTAAACATTGCTGTTTGCATTTTATACACGTCAGTAGTATTAAGTTATTAAAGAATAAGTATATATATATACACATATATAATGAGAATATATATTTTGAATGAAAATATATACAGTACATATATGTATACACACAACTAGAATAGCTTAGCTTTTCCATTTTTTCAAACTTTCTCTTTCTCATTAATGTCTTCTTTCAAGAATTTCTTGCATATAAGCTTTCTAGAATGTTCTATATCTATTTCCATCTCATTTATCCTTCAGTTGTCATGTTTTATTCTTTGTTTTAACGGAGTAATGTTAAGAGGCCAATGGTACAGTACATAAACTGATCAGAGGGACAGAAGAAGGCATCATGAGCCTCACTATGAAACCCTTCTTAATGACATGTTCCTTATGAATCCGGCCTGCTAAAAAGTTGTTATTCAGTCAAAAGTATGTCACCAAATGGTGGTTTAAAGTGGAACACCCCACACACCCCACAGGTGTACAAATCATGCATAGAACTCTCTTCTACTTATGTTCCTAGACTTTGTCACTAACCTCACCATTGAGCAAGTAAAAGTATATCTGCTTTCCAAGAAAGCATCCACTGAGTTATAAATACTATCATATAATTTGTAGAGTAGTACAGTAATGTATATACAGTATCATTTCTCCCAAACTATTCTGAGTATGTAAAATAAATCATGAGTCATAAAATATTTGCCTAAAGTGAAAACCATCCTTCAAAAATAATTCATGAGCAAGAGTGATGTTAATTTTTAGAAAGTTTGCTGCCCTTTGAGACTATTCTTTTGCATTAGGCATAGGTCCTAAAGTGAATTGAACAAAAAGCTTGAAGATGAACAAATGTAAATTAATAAACTTAAATTTACAATATACAAATATAAATACACCTGATTGTATTTTTAGTTAATATACTAGAAAAGTATACCAAACGAAATTTCACATTACTTAATTTTCTGAGCTTGAATTTTTGCCTTTTCATGTATACAAATATATATACACAGACAAACAGACACACATACACAAGTACACTCATGCCTTGCCTTCACTGTAAATGAGCTGACATTCTGGGTTTAATTATTTTCAGAAGCCACTCTTAACTAAGACTTGATCAAAGAGGAATTTTTAAAGTATGTCTTTTAGGGTCTCCACTCATTCCTATTAGATTTCCTTCTGCTTAGGTTGCCTTTTGATGGTCAGGTTCAACATTAAAAAACATAGTTCCTATCAGGTATCATAGATGACATCTACTTTGGTTTTATTTTTTAGCAGCAAAACAGTCCATATTTTCTTTGTAATTTATCTTTGGTATAAGTATCATTCAGTTTTCTCTATGACGCCCTTTTGAAGTACATTTAAATCTTCCTTAAAATATAGTGAGCACTCTTCTAGAGAATGTCTAACTTTATTTTAGTTCCTTAGATTTGTAATACATAGCTTTAGCAATACATCTCAGCATATTACTTGTGTTTTTTTTTTTTTTTTTTTTTTTTTTTTTTTTTTGCTGAAGCTTGATGTTATGAAGAGATATTGGAAGTTTGCTTTTTTGGATAATTCCCTAGACTATATCAGATTTCTACTTAGGACTCTTGTGTCTTCTGACTGGGATAATTGACATACAATTCATATTTTCTTCATTTTATTATATTAAGAAATGGCATGAGATGATTCTAGGTTCTCACATTTTTATATACTTAATGCATTAAGAAAAAAGAAAAGTGTAATTTCTAACTAGAGGCTCAGGATGAAAAAAGGAGAGAATCGATGTCTGGCATTAGAATTGGTGGTGGGGGTCTCGGTGGGCAACACTGTCCAAAGACCTCTCATATCTGAAGGCAAGACTGCTAATAATTTTATAGTATTAAATTAGGATGCTGCCCTATCTGCTTCTGCCTTCTTTCCCAATTATGTTCATATCAAGTCCAGTAGGGAAGGAGATGTTGATTTTTTTGGGAAGCCAATCCATCATTTCTCTGAGAGTGCCAGATAGGTGCCAGGTATGGTGGAATTTGGATTCTGCCACTGCAAGGATGACATCACTTGGTGACCTCCTTCCAAGTAATCCGTTAGGTAACATGTCATACAAATTTCATCTCCTATAAACAGGGGTGGTTTTAAAGAAAACAAAAAACAACAACTGTAGAGTAAATGTTCTGTCTTAATTGTCAGATGTTTTGACCACTAAACCACTTTTAAATTCTCAGGAAGTTGTAGATCTGTGTGTGTGTGTGTGTGTGTGTGTGTATGTGTGTGTGTGTGTTCTACCAGTCCTGAGTACTGTGCTGCCTGCACTACAATCTTGGAAATGATTCCTTTCACTTCAAGATCCAAGTCATTACTGTGAATAATTAAAAAGCAGGGCTCTACCCTACTGGTAACCTCTTTCCACCTTGAAATAATCTCATTTATTGGCACTGTTGTGGTCATGTCTCTCCCTTCACCCAATTTTCAGACTCGTTTGCCAGCTCTCTGCCTATTGTGGGTCTGCACTTTAAGCACTCACTTTCCTTATTGAAATGTTTTGTGACAAGGTAAGTGTAATATTAAACGTGCATGCAGTTCCTCATCATGTTTCTCCTTTGTGCCAATTATGTATCTTGACTTAGTCTTTTGTGGCACAGGGAACTATTGTATTCCTAACTCACACAGACCCTCTTCTCCAGCAAAACTGAATATCTGGAGCACCAGCCAGTGCCCTGCAAAAAATGGTCTCTCTCCTGTCTATTAAGGTGCAAATTTAGTTATAGACTTTCCCTTTTTCATCTTGCTTAGAAATTCTATACCATCCAGTGTCTGTGTTCTTTCTAGAAGATGTCCAATAAATACCTGCTGAATTTAAATGTGTATTTCCTTCATCAAAATACTGCTTCATTATGCTATGTGAAATAAGCCAGACACAGAAAGAAAGATAACGCATGGCCTCACTTTTATATGGAATCTGAAAAAAAAAAAAAGTCAAGTACTATACATAGAGACAAAGAGTAGAAAAGTGGTTACCTGAGGTAAGGGTAGAGTAAGAAATGGGAAGATGTAGGTAAGAAGTGGCAGTAATGTAGGATGATTAAGTGTAGTGGTCTAATGTGCAGCATGAAGACTAGAGTTAATAATGTTCTATGGCGTACTGGAAATTTGTCAAGAGGGAAGATTTTAGGTGCTCTTACACATACGCACAAAAAAAGTAATAATGTGAGATGATGGATATGTTAATTTACTTGACTATAGTAATCATTTCACTATGTATATGTATATGAAAACATCATGTTGTACATCTTAACTATATGCAATAAAAAATACATAAGTTTCTTGGGGACAGGGACTGTGCATCTGAAATGTACAAATGGTATTAAATATTTTAAAAATATAGCTTTAACTGGCAAATTGGTTCAATACTTTTTTAGAAGGGTCAGATTTCTGGTTTGTTCAAAAATTCTTGCAAGTTTTCTGTTTCACATAGTAGTTCTTCAGAGGGACTCAGCTATTTTTCCACTATGTAATGACACAATTTCTGGATTCTGTAGGTCTTCCTCTGTGTATTTTATGGGGAAAAAGCATTTGTCCAGCCTGCTTCTTTGTAGAAATAACTGAAAGGGCAATAGTATGAAACTTGTTAGTTTTTAAAAAATGGAAAGAAGGGGGGTGCTTTTAATTGTATGGGAAATTTAATTAGATTTAGGCTAATTAAATTCATTTTTTATATTAACATGTTCACAAATATTATTGCATCTCGTTAGATTTCATTCTTCTAGTCTTACTGAACAATATTCAGTAGTAGTTTCAGATTACAATAAGTTCATTATGAAGATAAGGTGGAATTAGTGTAGGAAGCTCAGCTGGTTGAAGGGGTCTGTACTTTAATTACTGCAGAGGGTGTGCATATTAATTACAACACAAGTGATATTTACTGTACCTCAGGAACATATGACAGGGTAAAGATACTGACAGCACCAGCTAATAAACTCAGTATGATAATGAGGAGAAAAGACCATAAAAATAGAAGGAAATAAAATTATTCATAAAGTATATTGATCCCAAAGTAAAGACATTAAGCTCTGATGAAGGGCAACAAAAGGGAAGCTCCTCACTTTATCAAACAAATAACCAAAGTAGAGAAATGTTAGCAGGGAGACAGATTGTCATTATACTGGTCACATGATCACACCCCAGAGAGTACACAGGAGCCATAAAATGGGAGATTTTTAATAAATCAGCAGAAAGCCATACTGTCACCTGCAGGAACTGAGGTCGCAATGGCTAAGGACAGCTCCTTAGAGTAGAGAAGTCAGATCTGCTGCAGCATAAACTGGAAGGAACCACATGCATACAAAATTGGGTTTAAGAGCCACTGTCCTCTCTGGAAAAGCAAGGGGGGAACCTAGGAATGCTGTGAGAATTACTCTCAGTAGCAACCTGGAGGCCATCACCTACTTCTCTCTGCAGTTTTAGATCACCAGCTATGATTTTGAGGTGGCCAAGGGGAGCGGTAGGGGTTGGTTGGGTAACTTTTCCCAGGAAATGCTCAATTCTGCTCTGATTCTGTCTAAATCCATATGGCTCAAAGGAAAGTTCAAATTTTGTCTGTAGTGACTAAATTTGAGGCTTGGCTTTGTTTTGTTTTTACATGGGCCTTTCAAAGGGATGGTCATTCTTTTTTTATGATTATTTCGTCAGCTACCTAACATTTATAAACAACCTCATTTTAGAAAGCAAGCAGCTGAATTACTAATTTTTATTTTACATCAAATAAAATATAGTTTACATCAAATATAGTCAGGTTTTTGATAAGTACTTGTTATTTTGGTGGCTTATTCGCCCAAATCCGCCACAGATTGTGCTCATAGTTGACTTATCATGGATAGAAAGTACAATAGTTACCAATTTAAAATAATTTTTATCTTAATGCATGGGAATAATATTGACGACTCTTGAGATAAGTTAATTTTATGAGGAAAGTATTTTTGTGGGTATAGGGATAAATAATGATGTTAATATGTATCTCATCTATGTGATAAATATTTTGTATGTGTGAACTTAAATCGATATAGTAAGTGAAAATGCAGTTCTGGTTAAAACACCTCGAAAGCATAGTAGTGAACCTAGAGCAAATGGAATAAAGGGCATACCCAGGACATTGTGGAATCTGGATCTCCATCTTGGTAGCACCATTAGAGTTGTTTGGAGACAGAACACAGAAGTGGAGATTCTTCATTTTGGTTGAAATTTATAAAATCGTGAATTGAAAGGATTAGATACTAAATTACAGCATGAAATTATGGAAAATCTCACTTTGCAACTTAGGCAAGACAAATAATAGGAAAAATTAACCAATTAACTCAGATCTGAAATGTTTTATGTTTCCTGTGGCAGAAGAGAGGATAACCCTAAACACAGTCATCCCTTGTTTTCTATTTCCCATTCTGTTCTTTTCAGGGCCTTATTCCATTTATTCCTAATATTCCAATCTTTTCATGCTAGCCTTTTTATTTTTTTGGTGGTGGGATCAAGAGGTTATTCACTCACATTAAGGTGCAACATATCCGGAAATATTTTTATTTTGAGAGCAATGCTTCAAGAAATCGCACATGTTATAGTTTGACTATCAGTGAAATAGTTATGCATAAGCAAAGGATTCAACTTAAATTACTTAAATATATGAAATAGTTATAAACATGGCCCACATAAAAGGCCAGGCATAGCCAGAACATGGAGTAAAGAGGTGATGATATGGTTCATAATTGTTATTGTTTTGTACTGGCTTATTTTCACCAATATATGTGTCATATTATGATACTAAGACACCAAAGCTGTAGGACTATATAATACCTCAAACAAGAACTTGGGGTGTCCAATAAATATTTAATGGATGAATGATGAAATGATTGAATGATTAAATGAATATACTTCAGTTGGTAGTTTCATCAATTCTTGAAAATTACCACTAGTGCTTCTGTTGTACCTAGTGAACTGGCTTCTGTTTTTAACAATGGTGTTTGGCTTTTTGTGCTGGCATTCGCTAATCACAATATCTCTGTCATCACCTGAGATGTAAATGCTGGCCAGAGTGGATTGCCGCCGTCGGGTGGCTAGGCCCTTTCTTGGTGTTTCAATGTAAAGGATATAGGTGATAATGGGATGCACCTGTGATGAAACCTGGGCCGTGAAGCTGTCTGCAGCTTGCCCTTTGAGAGTTTCAAACAGTTTTATGATCATATAAATAGCTTTAGCAGACTTTCAATTATCAAGATGTTAATATATGTATACATTTTGTCCAAAATATCCTGAAGCTTGAAACCAAAAGAATGGTTTAGGTGCACACCAATTATATGTATGTGATCCTCAGGAACAGATGGGAGATTCCAAATCTACATCCCTAATCAACTAGGATTTAGGCTAGGCTACTTACTAGAATTCAAGAATCAGAACCTTTGGAAAAATAGGGGGAAGATTTATTTTAAATGATGTTGAATCTAATTCTGATTTTCTCTTTGAGCTTTATTGGCTTCTGCTATAGGTTTACTTCTTTTCGTCAAAGTTTCTAGTTTTTATTATTATATTTCCTGGTCCCTCTCACTAAATTGTTGCCCTTGTGCCATCTCATTTGTCCTTAGTTTCTTCCTCTTCCTCCTGTACATTGCTTCAAGGATCTATAGTTCATTGTTCACCATTATTACTCATTCTCCTCCTATCAAATCTGGTTCTGATACTTATTTCAGCAAATTATGCTTTCTCTTTTTTATGTTTCTACTTTAATGGCTAAGTTTTCAACTTGACACTCTGGAACTGCTCTTTTCTAACACAGGAAGAGTTGAGTTTATTGAGAATTTGGTTTAGGGACATCTATTGATGTCTGAGAAAGGAGAGTAGTCCTTAGCTTCCCTCACTTATTTATTCTGTGAATAATGGGGAGACACAGAATGTTTGATTCAAATATCAAGTAGACATGAATTCTGATGTTCAAATGTGTTCATAGAAAGCAGGGAATTTAGGAATTAAAATACCAGTGAGACAAAATGGGTTGTATCACCTGAAGATTGGGGTAACAGCCTACATCAAGTTAAGAAAATCATTATCTTAAATTTGAAATACATGTAAGGACAGTCTCATATTGGCTGCAATTAAATGTTTAAATTTAAACAAAATAAGTGACATTTAAAACTATGTATATTATATATAAAATGTGCTTTGTAATCTCCACAATTATAGAGAGCCACAAAATCCTTATGTCTCAACTACACAGAAAATCTTGTTAATTTTCATTGCAGTAAAGCAAAACTTGTGGAAAGTCCCCAAAGCATTTGAACCTTAGTGCAGGGTTTAACTCCTCTCAGTGCTTCAAACTCTGAGTAATTTAATAGATTAAAGTTTTAGAAGGTTAAGTTTTAGTTATAAACAAATTTATGTTTTTGTATGTTGATAATTAGAAAAAAGTATTTTGTGAAAGTCTGAGGAAGCAAGATTGAATAGATAATTAAAAATCACAAAATTCTAACCAATAAGTGAGATGGATATGATTGTTCATGCCTATTCTGTTTCTTAGACTTTGTAAATTTTCATGAATCTCTTTCTTTTTTTTTCCCCCAAGATCATGTTGTCTATTTATTGCCACAAAGTAGGAGTCGTAGTCAAGGTTTCCTGTAAGTCTTAGCTGTACTGCTTCAAAGACTGTGTTAAAATAATAATTCATTGAGCAACCTCAAAGATGCTTCATATAATAGTGTTAATGAGCAATAAAGGAACAAAAAAGGGAACCTATGATGGAGAATTAGCAAATCTCTTAGAAATTGCCAAATTGACCAGCGTCACTAGGAACCACTGAGAAAAGTGAAGGTGTTGTGTTTGGTATGTGACTTTGTAATAACCAATATCAAAACAAAAAATGTTTGATTTCATTTGGAAAGGATCATTTTTCCTGTTACCTTTTCTGAAACAATCCTCACCCTCTGTTCCCTCATTCCTGTTACAATTAGTCATTACCTACTGTTGCTTGTGATTTGTTGGCAGTCTATAGCTGCAATCTGTTGCTCTGTGACAGATCGATTCGTTCAGCCCACAGACTCATTCCTGAATTCAGCCAAAATGAATATATATATATATATATATATATATATATATATATATATATAATGTATATGTATACAGCGTGTATATAGAAAAGAAAAAGTCCAAGGTACATTGTTTTAGCTAATGTGGCAAATTATTCTTCCAAAAGGATCTTCTTAAAGGACACTCTTAATGAACCCTACATGTATTTAAACATGTGTGAACAACACTAAGCAACCCCCTATGTGGAATGGGCTCAGAGTCCACATGTGTAGACTGTGGAATTTGAAGTATGTTTGTTTAGCATTATCACTTTTACAGGAGACAATTTCAATGCAATATTTTAGTTATAGAAGAGTAGTTACTGCTGAGCCTACTGAAGAGAATTTGTAGAAACCCTGTTGTTTATACCCACACACATGTAGATGTATATACACACCACTAAGTTTAAATAATCCCAGTAAGATTCATATTGCTCCGGTTTTTCAGCAAAAGAAATTATAGTTTAGTCGCAATCAATTTAACAGTCAGAGCTTTGGTGTAGCAAAATATGTGCTTCGTAGCCCTTCAAAATTTACGCAGTTTGTACATATAGATATGTGCTGTATATATTTTGAAGTGATACGTATGTTGAAATTTTTTCTTCACTTAAAACCGTGCTGCATAATTGATTGGAAGAGTTACTCTCATTACAGTCTATTTTTGCAGCAAAGCAGAGGCTATTTGAGATGCTTGTGGGTTTTTTTTTTAAATGCTTAACTTTATTGCAAGGAAAGGAAAAACTAGTCATTATATAGCAAGATGCTATTCGTTTTTGCTTTGTTCTGAACAATGCTGAATTAAGTAACATCACTTCATGACAAGATAAATAAATAAAAAAGATTTTCCCTATTAGCTTTTAGTATCACTCTTGTCTGACTCAGTAAGACCTTCTTTGGTGAAGATCTATACACACACACACATACTCATTGACATTTACAAAATATGTAGTCTCTTCAGTTTGCTATCTCATAAACCCCAGGAAGAGCTTACTTCTGAACATTTCTATATAATAGGGTCACCTCAATAGTAAGGCCTGGACCACAAGAGTTGCCAAATTAAGAAAACTGGTTGGCTCTTGGGGAAAATACTGCTGAAAAAAAAGGCAGATGTTTCACTGTACGCGATACATTGGTGATCACTCTCAGTCTGTCAGCATGCATTTTCTCAAAGTATAAACTATCCTCTGCTTTGGTTCCTGTTTTCATTTTGAGTTTTTGAAGAAGTCCCCTTGTCTGGCTCCAGGGAAACTACAAACTTTCCTCACTCTAAAAATAAGACAAGATAGTCATTCACGAGAAATTACTCTAACCACTCAAGAAATACTTATAAAGAAATTTTTTTTCAAGCACACTTTGGAAGGAGACTGTGAGTTTTATGGTCATTATACAACTTAACAAATAAATTCATGATAGCTGAAACAGAATTTAAACAATGTACAAAAGCCATAGGGGCTAGTAAATAGCACAGGCAGGATTACATTGCAAAATGCTTGCATTTTCAGTCTGATTACTCTTTCCACTAAATCTTTTTATGCAGGAAAGAAAAAGATTATTAAACATAAGTATTGTGAAAATTGAGTGAAAATGTTACTCCAAGTAACCAAAGGATATAGAAAGGGGCAGCTCTGTTATATTTTGTTTTACATTATTATTGCCTCTGTAATCATTTAAGATAATCTTTTTTTAAAATAAAGTTTTTTTACAATTATATAATTTTCAGAATTAAGATTAGAAAAATTACTTAGGTGAATACAAGAATTCATTGAAACATTACATGAGATTAAAGTCTACTTTCGACACGATTTCATTACACATGGACTCTGAAGACTTTATCAAATTATCTGGATTTTACTAGATCTGAATAAATAGCAGCAACGCGCAGAGAAACTAATTCAAACATATTCCTTTGTTCTGGTAAATTACTACATATGCCTCTAGCTCCCTTGTATCTGAGGTTCTATAAAAAAGATTTTTTTTGCCCTTCCAGTGTGTTTTATCCACCATTTAAAAACACATTTAAAATATATTGCAATTGCGTGAGAAGTGACATAAATACATTTGGTGATTAATATTTATTTGATCAACTGTGAGTGCAACAATATGACTTCTAATTTGAAACCACACAAGCTTCCTTTTCAGCAATCCTGCCTTTCAAAGCCTTTCATTTGCTACATCACAGGCTGATCTTGGAAAGAGAACCTGTCAGATGTACTTTTTCCTACTTTTTTTCCAACTTGAACTGTTGAAATGGGGGAGTAAGCATTTAGCCCTATTTCCAGGTGTACCATATTGAAACTTATAAAAAAAAAGTGTAAAGTGTGTGGGGGAATGGAGAATCTCTTGAACTGAAGGCCTGTGGGTGATTCCTGACATCTTGGCCTGTTAAAACATGTTGTAGAGTATGTATATTTGAAGGCCTGTATGTACATTATCTGCAATATACAAACACATCCACATACACGTTCTGCAAAAAAGGCAAGAATGGATGTCAAGGAAACATCTCCCAATATTAAATAAAGATCCTGTTCCTTTTTATATTATTATTCCTATTGTTTTATTTCTATCCCCTATTCTAGCGGTGTCCTTTGTGGCACTTCAGCTATGATGAGATGGGCGGGCGAGCAGCTTCCTCCAGAATTGACGCCAGCTGGTTTGGAAGACTGGCAAACCCTCAACTCTCCCTCTATCCACCACGTTAGAGATTGACTTTATTATCTGCTGTAGCTCCATGCCATGCCCAGTCTCTAAAGGCCCAGAATGCAGACATGTAACACAGCCCTATTCACCATTGCATTTATTTTGATTTAGTCATAACTTCAGGAATTGCCTTTTAACAACAACTACAAAAATGTGAGGGTCATCCACTTCTAATGCTGGAAACCCTGTGATAATCTGTTCCATGCATTCAAATGAAAATATGACTTCTTGGCAGAGAATAGCATTATAATGTAAAATCCCATATGCTGTTATACAGTATGTTGCAATCTGTTTTACGGCTGCCTCTATTCTAACGAGTGAATACTGCCAATAAAGCAATTGAAGATAACACTAATTGCTTATTTCTGTGATCCATAATTTTTATGGCTGCCTTATAGCTCTTTAGTCAAATAGATGCTTTTTGGCCTTTAAGATCTAGAACTCATGTACTGTAGCAATTGAAACTGGAAATGCACATGCTGGTCTGAGAGGCTTTTCTGTACTTGATTAATAGGATGCAGCAGAAAAATAATTGAAAGATGTGAAAGAAAATAGAAGTCTTAAATCAGCTCTAACAGGTAAACATTAGATTTGATCAATATTTAGATCACTTTAAATAAATAAATAATTATATGGCTGTGTATAAAATGAAATTAGGCTGTAAGGTCTTCTCTGGCTTTGATGCATTTGGGGGCCTGTTGAGCACAAAGGTGACAGTGGAAATCATGGTTGTGTGTGAGCACAGCTAACTGAGATGAAGATCACATCTGACCCTGGGCTTTGCCACATATTGACCATGTGACTGTGTGATCTTGAGCCAGTGATTCAACATTTTTGAGTTTAGGTTCCTCTCAGAAATGCTAGGATGACTCAATGGATGTGAAAGCACTTTGCTAACTGTAAAGTATTAGACACTCTGTTAGTGATTATCTGTGCCTGATCCCTGTTTGGGGCCATTATGACATGCTTTCTCATGGATAACCTTATAGAAACCCAAAATAATACTGTAGTTGTCCAAGAACATATGCAGTCCTTTGCTACTCAAAGTGCAGCCTGTGGACTGGTAGCATCAGCATCACCTGGGAGCGTGTTAGAAATGCACAATCCCAGGCCCCACCCTGGACCCACTAATCAGAATCTTCATTTTATCAAAATCTCCTGGTGATTAGTATGCACATGAAAGAATTGAGAAGCCCTGATCTAGTCTAACTTATTTCATACAAAAGAAAGGTGACATTCAGCAAAGTGAAGTGGTTCACAAGAGGTCACATAGTATGCTCAGAACTAAGCCACGATGACAGCCCAGGTCCTCTGACCCTAAGTCTAATCCATGATGTCTCCACCACAAAATACAGAGGATTTCATTTTATCTTGTGACAGATTTCATATTGACTATGTCGGCCCAAAAGTGGGTAATATATTTGTAGCCTAAAATAGGGTAAGTCTAAAAAGTCATAGGTTTCTGCTTGCTTTGGTCAAATAGTAAAATAAAAATCAAAGCAAATAATCAATAGGTTGTATTACTGAGCTTAAATTGTATGCAAAAAGTATCTAGAATACTCCTAGATTTCTATTTATAAAGTTCATTAGATACATTCTTAAATTTCTCAGATTGAAGGATTTAACATATATGCTCTTAAATTCAGAAAAGATGCAACTGCAATGATCACAGGGACCTAGTATTCAATTTTTATATTTGTATCCAGCATTCTAGCTATTATGATCTTTTTGGTAGAAAAAAAGAGATGATGATTATGTATAATAAATATATTTCTCCTATTCAAAGAGTAATACACAAAGCACTGTGCCCAAAGAGAGGTGCCAAAGGATCTTACAAGCAATAGCTTAAAAATGCTCACAATTCCCTGATAAGATATACACATAGGTATGCAGTTTTGAAAAATACCACTAGATTGGTTTCATTATACACACACAAACACACATCGTATATACTATGTTATTAGACACTCTTGTAATATTTCTTACATTTATTAAGAGTTGAATGGATGGAACAGGAAGGCATTATGTTAGGTTAAATAAGCCAGACACATAAAGACAAATATCACGTGTTCTCATTCATATGTGGGAGCTAAAAAAAAAAGAAAAAAAAATTGAACTCACGGAGATAGAGAATAGAACTGGTGCTTACGAGAGGGTGGGAAGAAAGCAGGGAAGCCCATATGCAGTGGGGATGGTTAATAGGTACAAAATACGTTAGATATAATGAATAAGATCTCATATTTAGTAGCACAATACGGTGACTATAGTTAACAATAATTATATAATTTAAAATTACTAAAAGGGTGAAATTGGAATGTTCCTAACACATAGAAATGGCAAATGCTTGAGGTCTGTATACCCCAATTACCTTGATACTTTGTATGCCTGTATCAAAATATCCCATGTACGCTGTGAATATATACAACTATTATGTGTTCATAATAACTAAAAATAAAAAATTTAAAAAAGAAGAAAGTCACTAAAGTCTATTTTTTTTTTAGAAAAACTTGAATACTATGAACCACATACACATTATTATCTCATTTAATCTTCACCAAAATTTGATGGGGTACTGTTATCCTCATTTTATAGATGTAATGAGGAGCCTGGGGTTGAGGGAGGTCAAGAAAAGAACTTGCCCAAGGATACATAGCCAGCAAGATAAAACAAAGAGAGAAAGTTAATGTGAGGTTTAAGTGGACCTCCCAAATCAAAGTTGTGACTTGAAAGTAAGACTTTTGAGTTCTAACTTCTTAAATCCTGGTTTAATGTGGTCTCTTTGGATGTGAACCTCTACCATGACTTCCTGCAGTCGTATTGAGGTGGTGGTGGCCTTTTCTTCCTTTTGTACTAAGCACATAGATCTGTGAAACCACTGGCGCCTCTTGTCTAAGGAGTCAAGGTCTAGAGGTGTCTGTAGCTGGGGAAGGAGCCTTCAGCTGCTCTGCTCTTCGCAGTCAGACATTGCCTCCCTGAAGATTCAGAGTCCAGGTTCTTGGTTCAACAATTCTACTTCTCTAGTTCTGAGATTGATAATGAACAAGTGCTGCAATAAAAAATGCCAACATACTTGAGAATATTCTTAATGAAATCAGTTTCACAGGCTTTTGTAGAGAAGTACTGAAGCTGGGGAGGGGAGACAGAGCTAGCCAAAATATTTCTAGGTAGAGCTGTGGGAGCTTTATATCCGAAGGTGCAGAACTGAAGAGACATGATTGAGAGATAAAGGAGCAGGAAGAGACAACCTTTACTAGTAATTGCAGAGACAGTCTAAATAAAGTAGCAATTAATAAGCCAAATGATAAAATGATTGATCTAGAGCTTTCTCTCTAGCTTTCTTTTTTTAAGGAAACACAAGCAAACTTCAAATGTTCACTCCCATTTTATATGACACATCCTGCTCCTTGCTGATAGCCTTATGTGTGGAACCTCTAAAGCTGTACCTTGCCAAATGTTAACTAACAGTGTATGCTGAAACCTCATTATGAAAGGGGTATAATAAGAAAATAAGGAATATTGCAACCAGCTGTAACCTATAACATTCTAGTAACTATCTTGTTATAAGAGATAAACCCTGATTACTAAATTCCAACACTTTGTAATACCTCAGAGGAAAAAAATAAAAGATAGCAGTTTTTCTTGCACTTGTTTTTCTTTATATTAGATTATTAGATTCTATATTATCTTAGAGTTCTAGGTTTAACTATCTGATTTTTTAAAGTACTGGAGAAAAGATCAATTTATCTCCACCCCCTAACATATTACTTGAATATATACTAGTATTTGTGATACTTCCTTACAAAGGAATTAATACTTCCCTATGCAAGTATTAATGACATTTTTTAGAGAAAAGGAAAGAGTAGTAAGTCATCTCTTGGATCTAAAACAAATGTAAACCACCTCAAAGCTTTTTTCTTAGAAGAAACCTCATGCGATGTGCACCATATCAAGATTATAGACACAGAATTATACCGCACTCTTTTTTATTTAAATCCAGGTGTAATTTGTGAAACCTTTCTGCTTCATTCTAGAAATGAAACTCTAGCATTGCCTTCATGTTGGGCTCTGATCAGTTTGGTTTTTCAGATACACCAAGGGGCTTTTATTTCATATCTTTGTGAAATTGACTAGTTTCTAAAGTTATTCTTCTATTATAATTTAACACATTAAGAGAATAGAAAAAAGAGAGATAGTGTGGTATTATTTTATTACTACATAAAACTCCACTGTCAGAATGGAAAATATAGGAAAAGCTTGGCACACAGATGGCTAAAAAGTTAAAGCTGAGTAAATGATCAGAGAGAGAAAAACAGAACAGTATTGAGTCTATGTTCCTCCATATTATTTTGTATGCATATCTTTGAATTTGAAATTCAAATAAGGAATATATATATATATGTAATTGCAAACAATTTTTTGATAAACAAGTAGGCCAGATATCCAAATGAGAAGATGCCGTTTTGCCCTCTCATTCCATTTGATAACAGAAGCCCTTGTGTCACCTTATGTTATAGGAATGGAATTATAGGGATTAATATGAACAAAGTTAACCCCTTTTAACTTACTATCGCATAATGTTTTCAGCTTCCATGCCATGAGGATTCTGGGCAGTGCAGGGTGGGGGAGATTGGAGGGGTGCAGAGGAAAGGAAGATGTGAAGGGAGAGGAATAATAGAAACCTTTTTAATATATTGATGTGAAATGAGAAGTAATTCAGAAATGCAATTTAGTGATGACCTCTCCTCTGGGTGGATATGAAAAGCAGCCTTGTTTTCTTTTATAAAGAAATGCTGGCATGCTTGACTTTAGTGAATCAAGAGAATTGTTTGGCAAATAACAGTGATGGTGTGTGTCCTTGTCAGAACACCTGCTGTATTCTCCCAGCAAACGCTGGGGCCACGGCGTCTCTCCTCTAATGACACCTCATCAATCCGCTCCTATCAATGTCCCAGCCATGGAGGTGACTTCGAGTGCTCAGAAGCCTTAGAAAATGTCAACGTTTTGGGAGAAAAGGTCAGTCACAGCTTCCCCCCCACCTCCCCTGCCAAGCCACCGTGGGCCTGGCGTTCATTATCCTAATTAAATCCAGCAGCTGAACATCTTCTTATCTGTAGGGGAGGAGAGCACGGGCATGATGCAATAGGATTGATTTGCATATCCAAAGTTAATTAGTGCGGAGGAGCAGGTGTACAGTAATAATAATTATCACACATGACAATCACCTGTGACCACTTCCCCGCGCCCCTTCCGGGATTCAGCACAGTGATTGCTGGCTGGTTTTTTCCTTGCTTGATACCCATCCTGAGCTGTTTATGTCCTTGTGCCTCTCTTCACAAACCTGCTGTGAGTAGATTGTCTGTTCCTTAACAGGCGCTGTATTTTTCTCTAAAGGTATATTTTCCCCTGTTTCATTTGGAGGGAGAGACTATTGTAAGGCAGCTATTTTCAATTTTGTTTGCTGAAGTTGTCATATCCTGTTGGAGCCTGGGTATTTATTTTTAGATTACATGTAAGTGGATAAGGAAAAAAAAATGCTCAGGATCATAATTTGAAAATCCCACTTTGCATCATTTGAAGATTCTATCTTGAGCATATGCTGGGAAATCAGTCTGATCCAAAATAAACTTATTAGGCAACAGACACATGAAACCAAGTGACAATTTGATGTTTGCCACAAGATTATCCATGCCAGTTTGAAGAGGGCAGAGGGAGCTGAATACAGAACTTGAATCTTCCTAGTCTGTGGACAGTGCAGTAGAATGCAGGCTGCTGATGCTCACTGGACACAAACCTGAAGAAACTGAAAAAGATTTGGGTGGGTTGTTTAGGATCTGAAGAATCCAGGGTAAACAAACAATCAAACACTAGCATGATACTCCAGTAGGAAGACGTCAAATTGTAGCCTTGAAGCAAATTCAGTGCAGCTTGCAGGATGGCTCTCATGATGCCTTCATCACAGAAAGCTTAGATAGATTACACTCTTTGGATTTAGTTTGCACATAAATGTGTAGGTTGTGCATGTTGAAAAGTGTTTTCTCTGTCAAATGAGGGTAATTTTTTCAAATTAAGCCAAAAAGCATGCCCTGGAAATTGGATGTGCCTTTACAGAAATGAATTATTGCTGTATGTTATACAGGAATTTAACAGTCACAATGGTAGGCTAATAAGTAGGTAAGAACAGAATATTAAATACAAAGAAATTTTTGTGGGTAAAAGGGAGGCATTAATGTTAAATTAGCTATGAAACTGTGAGTGTTTTTAATTTTTTTTTTTTCATTTTGACTTTTGTCTCTTTCACTTTTATTTGTCAGGGTACACTTTTGCCAATCAAGTCAAGTATAACAGGTAGGCCTCCCTTTCACACAGCTTTAATGATAAGTGACAGAGTCGGCAAAAGGCATTCAACTGCCTGCAGAATGCATTAAAAATTTAAAACTTTACTTATCAGTCTTTTATTAAAACTTTTTGTAATTGTACAAAATTATTCCCCCACTGGGTTACCTTTCAATATGGAGTACAATTATATTTCTGACACAAAATAATTATAATTTTAAAAAGCTATAAGAAAAAAGTATTATTTTTTAAAGCAAAATCCATCCATTTTACATCCATGAAGAGGTATTGCAATGAAAAGTTAAGCAATTGCTGAGCCAAAACTCCAGTTGTGAACATTTAACTTTCAGTACTAGACAGCTAGGTGGAAATCTAGAAATGTAAAAGAATTATGGCTTATGGTCAAAGACTTCCTAGTCCTTGTTTGTTTATTAAGATAATAACTTTTATGTAGTATACCTTTAATCTATCCATGTTAGTGTAGCTAAAATGCCACATCTAAATTCTTTCCAACAGGATAAAAACCATTAGTAACTGTGTTTTGGAGAATTATCTGTGTTTTTTCTACATGCCTGACATCATCTTATGTAAAGATTTTAAATTCGAGAGCTACTAGCCCTGGACAGTGCATGGGCAGAGCAACATTCTAATAATTCCCAAATCTCCACTATGGTCATCTGGTCTTTTATCTAAAATTCTATTGAGCAAGTTTCCAGAAAAACAGGTGTCCTGTGTACATTCTCCTAAGAGATAGAGATCAACACATATTCTCTTGGGCATGTTTGTGTATAAGTTGTTATAGTTGAAACTCTGGGAAATATGGAGATGAATTCATATTTCAACTAGGGGCTGTTGGAATCAGCTCAAATGTCCATAAAAGCTGACACTACTACACTTTCTTAGCTTACACCCTGATGGCACATCCTTTTTGAATACAAGGAATACTTACTATGTATTTACTAAGAACTCAGCATGATATTAGGCAATTGCACTTAAATCCAAAGATTTTCAAGTCTTGTTCAAATCTGTTCTTGTCTTCAACTAGCTCACAATTTAGAAGGAAAATTAGATATGTGAAAACCAAACTATAATTCTATGTGAAAAATTCCAGGACTCTTCTAAGTGAGGAGTGTGCCATGATCCATTTGTTGTCAGAAAATACTGGAACTTGTATGTGTATTTATCTTTCATGCTATTATTTTAAATTTCTCTTTTTGTACTTCATGTACACAGCATAAATATATAAATTGGGGATCTAAAAACTTAAATTCAAAATTTAAATGATCTTCTACATGGAATACGTTTATATCTTTATGTCATATGTAGAAGTTTTCATAATTCATTTGGAAACGAGCATCATATGGTTATGGTTATACTGTGTATGAGAGGTTTGGAAACTTTAATTATAATCTTGATTATACTAGTAGTGCATCTTTAAACAAATAATTTAACATTTAATGTATCTGAGGTTCTGTATCTTATATTTTTGCATAATTCCCTCCCTTAAATAACAAGCATATATTGAGAGTTAACTCAGATTCAGAAACTTTTCTAAGCAATCTAAGTGTATTAATCCACTTGATACTCATAACTTTATTAGAAAAGTACTATTATCCCCATTTTACAAATAAACAAACTGAAACAAAGACAGATTAAATAACTTTCCCCGGGTGGCAAAGCTAAGAAGAGGCAGGCCAGGAGTCTGAAGGTGGTGTTAGAGGATTTCTAAAATAATTTCGAATTCTAAATTCATTGAGTTTCCTATGGTAGTGCTATGGGCTCATTTGATCATTTATTGAACATTTACTTTGTGCCAGACATTGTGCTAGGTGTAGATTATACCAAAATGAAAGATGACTCCCAGTCTATTGGGAAGATAGCCATGTAATCATGTAGCTATGGAAACACAGAAGGGAAAGCACGAACTGGCCAGGAAATGTCAGAAAGAACAATATTAATAGAAGTGCCAAAGTAGAAGTAGAGAATGACAGGTAAACAGGGCAAGCAAAGGTATTAAACCAGAGAGGGCAGCATTAGCCAGGGAGCAAATGTAAAAGAGAATGATGTGTTTGAGAAAATGAAAGCGGCTCAGCATGGTTAGAGTCCATGTTGTGTATGGGAGGAATAACGAGAGGCTGGAAATGGGACAGGGGCCAGATCCTGAATAGCCTTATTTGTTGAGTGATTTTAGCTTGTAGTGGATAACGAGTTACTGAGAAACTTTAAGGGATGGAATTATATGATTAGATGTGTATTTTAGAAGTTCTATTCTGGCTCTGGTATGGAGATTGGAGAGGAGAGATGTGAGGCTGAAAACTGGGAGTTTCGTTTTAAGAGTATTGAACTTGTCTGTTCACTCATTCTTTCGTGAAATTCTGTTAATCACTCATTGACTTAACCTGTATTTTTTGATGCGCCTACTATGTGCCAGACATTGTTCTAGATGCTTGAACTCTATTAGTGAAGAACACAGGCAAAAATCCTGGCCCTTGAGGAGCATAAACCGTGGCATAGTTCACTTGTAATTACAAGGAAGGACTTGGTTAAAGGGACAGTGTGGTTAGAGAGGGGAGAGGTATCTGTGATATATTTAGGAGGCAGAACTGACAGGACCAGTCATTAGGAGTGAATCATGGATTTTTAAAATAAGGACTGAAAAACCATTGAGAATTAATTCTTGTGAAGGAAAATTATCCCAACAATGAAAGTGGAAATTTACTATTCAGGAAAGCTGGGGGAGGGCAGTCAAACTGACTTTATGGGCACTGGGAGTAGGGTGGGGAGGAATGAGTAGCCACCGGGAACATTCTTTAGTCCATCAAGATGACTCAGGAGACTAACAGCCAATTGCCCATCACGAACCTTTTGACCTTTGATCTCAGAAGTTTCCAGAGCAAAACGTCCTCTTGAAAGTTTTGATTTTACGTTTGGAGGGGGAATGAATACAACATCACTGGCAGCTATGTTTCTAGAAGGGACTTCCTAAAAACAAAACAATTAAACATGGAGGTTTTATATGGTGAATTTAGATTCTCATGGCCTACAAAAAGCTGAAGCCCTGTGATTATCTTTGCCCAATCAGGGTGAGTCAGACCCACCTATTGCCAACTTTAGAGGATAATATATTAACTTTGTAAATGAAAAGAAACAGCAAGTTTACATAGAAGTTTAAATCACACTGAACACTGCAACAAGTCTCCACAGATAACAATAGTACTTTGCCAGCTGTGGTCTCCTTGACCTGCTAAGGTATTGCAGAAATTATAACGAACAAAGAGAGGCTGGGTAAGTGGATGGTTAGAACATCAGATTTTCAAGGCTTTTTCTATCCTTAGTGTTGACTTATTTAAGTCAGGCTTTGGGTCAGATTCTTGACTCTTGTATGCCTGCTTGTCCACTGGGAGAAGGGGGAGAAGAGCAGTACTTGGCACCCAGAGAAAGTTCATGAAGTGCGTTAAGGGCCTGAGTTGAAAGGCTGTAACATCATACAGAAGTGGATAGCATTCTATTTTTATTGACAGCATGAATAGGAAGCATAGGTGGTCTGACTGAAAACATCTCTGAATAAGAGTCTTTTCAGAAATGTGGAATGATTGGCAAAGGCCTAGAAGGCAGGAATGTCATATGCCTTGGCCCTGGAAATTGTCATTTGGCATAGAAGGGGTAGCATTAGAGTTGGCCTCAGATCCTCATGGGCTCAGAGGTGTGGAGGAGGGAGAACAAGTAGAGCTCTCCTTCTCCACTGTTGGGGCCCTATTACATGCTGCTGAAATAACTCTGACACGTTGGGGCTGTTAATGCAAATTTAGAAAATAAATCAGTCTTGGGGAGATGAGTGATAAAATGCAAACAACAGGGAAAGAAAGGGTCTTTGTTTACTTTCTCTTTTCCTGGTGTATGGCTAAACAGGTTAAACACCTGTGAGAAGAGGGTGCTTCAGGGACACCCTTATACTCAAATTGTTCATGGGTGTCTTGGAGATTGCATTCCTCTCCTTGTGCAGTGATTAGTTGCCTCTTCGTCACTGGCGACGCTGGCAGCGAGGAGCAGGGCCTTCACCTGCAGGTGTTGCCATGGCAAAGGACACTTGGAATAGATTCAGGCAACATTAAAATGCAAAAGTGAAAATAAGAATAGAGAGAAAATAGAAGCTTGATTCAGGGAGACATTTGAGTGGGTCAAATCGCCTCCCTCACAATAGCCATTGCCAAACTTGAGATCAACCCCACCTTTTCCCTCTTGACTCCTGAGGTTCTCTGAGCTCTGGCTATGAGGTGCAAAAGACGACTTTTTTTTTTTTTTTTTTTTTTTAAACACAGTAAGGTTTACATTATTTTGTTCCTAAGAAATATGATTTGGTTTCTTAATCCAAACAGGGTTAAGAAATTATGAAATGAGAATTGGTTTTTGGATGCTATAAAACAATTCCTTTTTTAAAAAAAATTCAAAAGTTGGCTAGCAAAGTAGCTCGTTTTATTGGCTCTGGATTTTTCTCTCATTACCACCTTCTTTAACATCCACGTGGCTTATCAAGGAAGCCAAACCACATTTTTCCTGTGTCATCCCAAGAGACTTTGCCTTAACTTTCACTTGGTTTTCACATTGAATTAAGCGTTTTCTTTCTTACCACTTCTGTATATTTATCTATTATTCAGAATAGTCGGGTTTATTTACTAAGCTTCCCTAGAACTTGAAGATATTTATGGTCAGAATTCCTGTAAGTTATTATTCTCTAAGTCAGAAAATCATCTATGTCTCTAAATATTTTAAGAATTCCGAGTTAAAGCCAGTGGCAGATTCCCTTTTTACACTCTGACTTGTTGATTTGCTTTGTTATCTAGGTAGTGATGGTTAATAATAACATAGTAGTAATAAATATTTACTGACTGTATAACCAGTTACATTAGAATTCTTGGGGATGGGCCTAGGTATAGGTGCAATCTCAGTGCTCCCCAGGGTTAAGGAACTGTGTGGTGGAGGTTCATGGGATGATTGGGAAGGTAATGCCTGTTCCATGGTGGATACTTGAGCCACATTGGTTTGCTGAATTGCTTATGAGTTATTGTAAAAAAAAAAATGTACCTTGCCTTTGGTTACCCCTTCTCTTTACAAGGGCAGGGTAAAATATGGGGCTCAGCTAGGCTGTGGGAATAGGGAATGGTGTGGGAGAAGCTTGGGCCTAGGAGCAACATCTGTGGGACTCTTCCTTCTATGCCCTTCTGAATCTATTGAGAAGGATCAGCTAACTCTTTGGTGCTATGCTATTAGAAACCCGGAATTAAAATAGAATATTTCTTAAAATGGAAGGGCTTGCAGTTAACTCAGGTCTGTACAGTGAGGCCCCATTGTTGGTAAGCACTTGGGCAGGGAGGAACCATCTTCTGGATATTGGAGTTATCTGCATGCTCTATGGATTTTCATTTCATATCATTTCTGTGTTTCCTGTAAAAATGAAGAGAAAGTTTCTTCACTGTGAACCTTCTCTTATGTGATCTAGGGTACAATTAACCCTACTCAGCTTTCATCTTGAAAATCGATTCAAGTAAACAAATGACATTTCTTAAGAAAGGTCAGTGGGGAGGTTTTACTGTAACATCTATTCTAAGCTGGAACCTGGGAAGTCCTCACAGGTCCCACAACAAGAAAATTTCATTTAAATGGACTAGGAGAAAAAGGGCAGAAAGAAGAATGAAGAGGGCCTAATACTGAACTGTAGTTCTCCTACATCCAGAGGTTAATAAAGTTCCTAAGTTTGCTATGTACAAAGAAAATTGCCTCCAAAATAACTAGTAATACTAGCATTCTCTGACCGTTTGAAGGTCAATATAGTAAAATACTTTTCTGAATCTGCTGTCTACCTCGAAAAAGGTATGTACAAAGATTGCACCAGATTTTCTGAATATTCTGGACAAATTCTGATCTGGTTGTACAGTTTAACCAATTGTCAGTATGCCAATACCCTATGCGTGAAGCTGAGGCACCAGAATGATTTGCTGTCTACTCAACATCTCCCTTATTCCACACTATAAGTAGGTCCCAGAAGTTCTTTGATGGGACAAAAAGAATTAATGCCAAAGTTGAATGAGTTACAGCCGCTACCACCTAATTAAAATGATTTTGTGCCAGTTGCTTTTGTTGGGCAAGATCCACACATAATATAATTTTAATCCTGTTTATATGCACTCTTGGGATAGATTTGAGATCAGCATTGCCATTTAAGTGAGGTTAATCAAGCATACTGTATGCAGCTTTTGTTTCTCCACTGTATGTGAAAGGTGACCATTGCTGACAGGTTACCCAACTGGCCGCTTACTCTATTAACAAGAAGGAGGTGGTTTTCAGTGTCTGGTCATTAACCTAGCCTCAGCCCCAGTGACTCTTTTCGCCTAGTCCTTGGAATAGTGCAGCTGTTGTCAGTCGCAGAGGAGAACTCTAGTTATGAACCGCTTTGCTTTGGCTGCAGCGACATGCCTCTACACAAGGAGGGGGGGAGGGAGAAAAAAAGAAAAAAAAATACAACTCCCCTAAAAAGCAAACACCGTTTTTTTTTGTATGCCTGGCTCTGTTTATGTATATAAAATGGACATTATGGTGGAGTGAAAAAGACCCTCGTAAAAATCCTTCTTGAAAACTATTGTTGCTGACAGCCATGACCTCTGTGAGTCTGCATGTTTACCCATAATTCATAATTAACAAAGACATTAGAACTGCCACAGGAGAATTCTGGGCTTTATTTCTTTCTAACTGGGCAGTACTAATGCTGGAAGTGCTCCCAAATCAGTGATTTAACATTTCAGGAAATCTTGGAGAGGCAGCAGAAGCCTCCTTATATAGCTCATACGCTGGGACTTTGGTGATACAGATACGGCCGAGATAATTATTCAGCTCTCGTTATTGCTGTAGCTCTGCACCTGATCCCCGAGCCATTAGAGCACTCTGCAGGTTATTACAACTATCAAACATCAAGGTCTCTTTTCTAGTCTCTTGACTATGTGGTTATCATTTTACTTCTTTTAAATCCCCCATCTGCATAGAAAGCCTCTGTGTTTTTTACAGAGATCTGCTCACAGCCTTTCCCCCACCCTTTCTTTATTGCTCCCTAAATGGAGTCCTTTTCTTACTAGCACATTAGCATAAAAATATAAACCTCATGCTTCTCCACTTGTATTGTTTTTATACCCTCTCTCTTGTTTGATTTCCTCTTTGAGGCTGTGCACACCTACACTTTAATTTGGGCAGCCAATGAGTCAGTGGAAGAGAATTCTCTTGAGCTCAAGGAAACCATGATAATATAATTTCTGATGATGGGTGTTATCAGTGGCCATGTTTAACCTTTTCCTTAGTTGAAGGCCCTCTTGACTTTATTGGGTGTTTCTACCTATTGCTGCTGTATCATAGATTATGCCCCGAACCAGCAAATTGCAAGAGAATATAATGACAACTTGCCAAAAAAAAAAAAAAAAAAAAAGAAAAGAAGAAGGGGGGAGGATTTTGTATTGTGGATGTACTTAATAATTCATTAGTTTTTTTTATCTCTTTCCCAGAAAGTGTACCTTTCTTGAAATTTAATAGGAAACTGTCTTTTTGATGACATGTATTTTCAGTTTTGGTCACAATCTAGTCCTGTAATAAGTTTGCTTCCATTACTTTTCTAAACAAACTATAAGATATTAAAACCAGACAGCTCTGAATATTCTGAGCACTGTGTCAGCTATCTAGGGATAGGCAGTCACTTATGATACATAAAGATAATAATACAAATTAAGAGTCTGAAGCAAGTCTCTTTGGACTGCATCTTAAATGAAAGCAAGTTGTTGTTTCTGAATGTTTTACACAGACTTGCTTCTCTTCAAAACCTTTATTTAACATGATCTCCACCAAACACCTGTAATAAAAAAAAGGCACTCCACCCGCTGCAGGCCTATATATAGAAAAAGCTAATCCACAAGGGGTGAGGGGCAGTCACAGACAGTATGGTGGGGCTGAGAAACATATGGCTTCCTCACTTAATATTGCTGCACAGTTGTCCCACACCATATTCCCTTAAATGGGCATTAATTTTGTAGCCAAATTAGCAGGCTATAAAAAATGAAAATAAAGACACTTTTTGATACTACAAAAAACCACCATTAAGCGTGACTTGATAGCATCTATCCATTATCTCTGTGTGTATATTGTCGGCAGGTGTAGTAAGTGGTGCATGTAAAAAATGAAATATAGAGAGGTTTCAAATGTAGGTAGTGTTTTTATGAGCAGTGAAAGTTAAGTAACTGTGTGCTTTAATCTGTACTTTACTTCATCAGCCTATGCAGAGAAACCATCTGATATTCCTGACTTATAGAAGAGACTGGTTTCTTTTAGGATCTCCTTCTGGCCCCTTCTGTTGAACCAAGGAGGTTTTAAATATTTTTAAAATCATATTCTCCTCTTTTGTTAACTTAATGGTGAATGTGTATTTTCTTCCCTAGGAACTAAGGAGCATAGACTTCAACACAAAATATATATTTATTAATGCAAATTCATATAGATCAACTATAACAGTAAATCAGTAGGTAGCATTTGTTGTGAATTGTTTCCCCATTATCAATGACAGCAGTAAGAATGCTTCACCTTGGGAACTTTGTATTACTGCTGAATCATTTGAATACTGTCAGAGGTTCCCTATTTAGGATGTACTTTCATTTTTACTACTATATGAAATTGTAATTCCTCCATATGTGGTGATCCTTAATACCAGAAACTATGAGTTAAAATCTTTCATTTTATCTAGTCTGCCCTTCTTATTTAATGTGAAAACAAACTCAGAGAAGCCAAATAACTTGCTTAAAGTCACACAGCCAGCTAGTTCATAGAAAACTTTGGTTCTGGTCTCTTGACTCTTTCTTTCTACTATACCACATTGCTGCTTCCAATAATTATATAATTATCGATGTTCCCAAAGCAAGAGAAGGCACTTGTGAGTTTTATTTCTAGAAAAAGTGATAGTTTGTTCTTAGCCATTCATTCGCTCATTGGTGAGAAAAATGCATAAATTTGCAAGATGGCGGGCCAGCAATATGGCAAAGGTCTTTTCTTTGTATGACAACCAACTGACCCCTAAATGAATTGAACCCTGACCCCCTTCCTCATTAGCTCCAAGAAAGCTAACTAGCCCAGAAACAATTGTTACAAGCAAGCTACAACACAAATTCACCATGTTATTCCTATGGGATTAATTAGAGAGCTAAAACAATGCTTTCTCTTTGAAAGACATACAGAATCATATTGTTATGTTCTTCTGACTTGCGAACCTCTTGAAATTTAATGCAAAATTTTATGTAAGGACAAATATATATTCCTCTGGAGAGAGGGTTCCAAGTTTGCATAAGATTTTCACGATGTTTGTGAGTGTGTGTGTGAGATCCAAAATAGGTTGAAAGAGTTGTTCTATTTCATGCTCCAGTGCATTGTGCTGATGTCATCACTGGTGTTGGTGCACTACCAAAAATACAAGAATTGCATTATGCTTCACCATATTGGAGGGCTATATTATTTATATATTTTTTTCCTTAAAAAAAGGGATGGCAAGTAAATCTATACATGTAGCCCTTATAATTAGCACCAAATCGATAAGGAGTAATTTGGGATATTATGATAATTTAATTTGAATAGGGATGAATGTCACCCAAATCTTGAGTGCTGACTTTTTGTACCCAATGAGAAAAAGAAGGCTATAGCCTTGAGTGTGGGGACATGATAGTATCCAGGATAAGGAGAGTGGACTATACAAAAAATGAAATATTCAAATATTTGACAGCATCTTTAACTTACTTAGATGTTATACAATAAATAGTCAATAGGACCTTTCTAGTAATCAGGGGGTTAAAGCACTATAAAGAAACTTCCATATGTACTTTGTTATCCAAGAGACAGATAGAGAGATGTCGTTCTACTGATATATTACATAAATCATGGTGCCAGCCAGAAAAACAACAGATGACCAATTTGTACAAAGCATTTTTTCCTTATGTTACATTTATTTAAAATACATTAAATCGTTGTGCTAAAATTGAGGCAGCTGGCAGTCCAGGCAACCTTATAAGATTTGTGTTTTCTGGATCCAGGCCCATTCATTTGGAAAGGTGAATCCACTGGGCTAATATATTTGCTTAGTCATATGCCAAGCCCTTGGAGAACACAGGTAGTCCAGAATTTACCATGCATTCCATTTTTTAAAAAAAATCAGAAATATCCTGACAAATGAAAGTCAGATGGTTAATGCCCATTTACTTCCAAGTGAAGTCACTGATTAATGGTGCCAAGTCTCAACCCAAAGAAAAAGACTCATATGGGATGTAATCTGAGAAATCTGGCCATTTTCCAGGGGCTTCTTGTCTCTTACTTTATATACATCAACAACGTGGTGATGCCTAGTTGACCTTAAAAATAAAAGTCATGTCTGAGTTGGATGGGTTTGTGTTAAACTGATTCAAACATGGGCCTAATATGTTAATGGCATTTTAATGTTTGCTGTAGCATTATTTTAGCCCATAGTTTTTTTTTATCAAACTCTTAATGAGTGATGACCTCCTCAAAATGGTAAAGATCACTCAATGTTAAGGGTTTTATACTTACTTAAACCAACTTTCAGTGACTATTGTCAACTGCATTCGAAACCAATACTGGATAAACAGGGCCGTAAGAGAGAAACTCATCTTAAGTGGTCTAGTGTCCTATTGGGGCAGTTTCTTTAGTGACAGCTTAACTTCTGTTAGTGGTCTCACAGGGATGTAGTGGTCTTACAGTCTGTGGTCATGTGAATATCTAGTCATTCAATGACATTAGTCATTCAAATGAGAAGTTGGTTTCAACAAATTTGTCTTCCCTGTTGGCCAATATTCAGAACATGGGATTTCTTCAAGAAGCTTCATCTTGAAAATTGAAGCTACCAAAATGTTAGGTTTCTATTTAAATTCATCAACTATTTTTGTGTCACTACTGTGTGCAAAACATGCTAGGAACATATTTGGTAAATTTTTAAGGACTTAAATATTATTTTTCTCTTAGGAGACTGAATTCTCTTAGGAACATAAAAAAGAAATACAAAACAAAGTCTGTTCTCTCTGTTTATGATCTTGATGGAGAGATTTGTATTTTAGAGAGACAGGCAAACAATGAACAGTTCCAGACCATGAATTGTACCCAGTTGAATGTCAAGATATATAATAGAGATGGTCATGAAAAGTTAGAAGAAGCGGAGGTTATAGGAGGTCATTAACCTAAAGAGGTCATTATGAAAGGTTTCTACAAAGAACACTAATGGAAGAGGTAGGAATTGAAATAAGCTCCAAAGTGTGCAGAAGATTCAGATGTGTAGGGTTGGGAAAGTATTTGATGGTGTTGGCTGATAATGAGAGTATTCTAATAGATTCATAACACCACTATTAGAATGGATATAAGACAAGTTTTGTCTGTGAGCACTTAAAAAATGGTTAGTGGCTTTCCATGCTGGAGAAGGACAAAAATATGAAGCAGGGAGAAAGGAATTGATTTTTTTTTCCTTTTAAAACTAAGAGTATGCTGCAAAATAATGGGGACAACCTTGGGGACTTGAAAATATTTCCATTAAGAGTGAGCCCAGGAAAGGGCACAAGTGAAGGGTTCTTGGTAATTATATTAGAGTTAGATCCAGAAATGCTAGAATTTAATTAGTAGAACATGTTCATGGCAGAGCTTCCAGGATTGAAAACCCTGGACAAAATGATGCCCAAAATAAGTAGCTTTGGTTGACTTTTAAAAGGTTGAGATAACCTAGAAATTTCTTATTTTCATCTCAACTAACAGATATATGTTATGTATATACTGCTAAGTAGATGGGTTACAATGTATGTATGCAAGGATTGAAGTGTGGTAGTATAAAGTAGAGTATATATGCTAATAGAATACCTGTCTTAGTCTTTTTGGGCTGCTATAACTAAATACCATAAACAAGCTAGCTTATAAATGACAAATTTATTTCTCCCAGTTCTGGAGGCTGGGAAGTCCAAGATCAAGACCCTAGTCAATTCCACATCTAGTGAAGGCTTGCTCTGGCTCATAGATGGCACCTTTTTCCTGTGTCCTCACATGGTGGAAGTGGCAGACAAGCTTCCTCAGGCCTTTTTTTATAATGGCACTAATCACCTCTCAAAGGCCCCATCTTTTAACACCCTCACCTTGGAAATTAGGATTTCAACATGTGAATTTGGGGGAACAGAAATATTCAAACCACAGCAATAACCCAAATTAACCAATAACCTCAAGGTAAGTTAAAGTTATTTATCAGCCTGAATTTTTAATTGATTTGAAATCATGCCCAACCATTATTTTTTTCTTCATGTGACACATCTTAAAAATTATCAAGACTTTAATGGAAGAAAAGGAATTAGATTGATCTGTCTTCTACAAAATGACAAAAATCAGAACTGTGGCCAAGAATAAGGGTCCTAGTTTACTATAACATTGGATTTCTTTTCTTTCCTGTATTCCCCTTCCCCTCTACTTCCCTTTATTTCTAATAAAGTGTTAGAGTTTGAATTCTTAAATTATCAGGAATCACTTTCTCATGCAAGGGGACAGTATCTTTCTGCATCTTAACAAGATGTAAAATGTTGAGCAATTTATAATAAAATCAAGATTTCCATTCTATCTATATACATCAAGCATGGTCAAGAATAGCAATAGAGTATAGAGGTTAAACATTCAGGCTTTGGGGTCAGAAGAACTTGAGCTTGGACCCTGGCTACTTATGCTGTGTATAGTCAAGCTGCTGTAACTCTTTCAGTCTCAGGTACCTTATCTGATAAATAAGTTTAATAGATTATACTTCATAAACTATTGGAAAAATTAAGATAATATATGCAAAGCATTTCACATAATACCTGAAACAAAAAGCTTACAGCCATTGTACCTTTTAATATCGCATTGTTGGGGTTCAGAACATATCAAACCAAAATATGACTAGGAGACGAGAATATGCCACCGCAAAATATACTTCTTTGGCATATTTTGAGCAGGTTATTTTTAGAAACTGTAGACACAGGAGTAGCTCTGAAAAGTTGCCCTTTTGTAAAGAAAATTTACATCTATAAAGGAAATCTATATTAGTAAAAGTATCTGTATTTGGAAAAGGGCTGTTCCTAGACCACTTTTATTACCTGAGAGACTTTTTATCTGCATAACAAGATGACATTCATTTACCATACATTTTCTCCCCTCACCCTCCCATAACTTGTCTCCACCACCCCACCAGGAGCCTCAGGCCCTAATTCCTTTCTGTAGCTCAGGATGCTATATAAGCTTCAAGCTTGATCTTCTTTGAGTCATATTTTTTTGTGGGACTCTCGTGTACTCATGTAATTAAATATGTTTTTTTTCCTTGTTAATATGTATTATGTCAATATAATGCATTGTCCACCCAAAGAACCTGCAAGATAAAGGGAAGCCATTTTTTTCTTCCCCTAGAGTACTCAGATCTGACTTTAAGCCTGGCCAGTGAAACATCTCAGAGTTGTTTTACTATCACATTTGCATTAAAAAGTTATATACTAGACTTCAAAGTTTAGGATATAGGTCCTACTTGTTTACTGATTGCATCCTTGATAAGTTAGTTATCTACAATTTGGACTAAGCCTTGCTCTGCATTGGGTCCTGTTGAAATCTATCTTCCATTCCTCCTCCTCAGCAGAGGGCAACTCCTCAGTCTTGCTGAACTAGCTGTGACATTTCAGAACTCCTGGATAATAAATCCTCCAAACTGGTTAGTGTGCACATGTGGTAGCTAATTTTTTTTCCTGACCAGTCTTTTGTATTATGAACAATCCATGTCCTAAATGCTAATTAGCTAAACTGGGGATCAAATAATTATCTTGGGTATAGAATATGATTTTTTTTAGAAGTGCTCAAATAAAATGCAAAATAGGCTAAAATCGTTTCTTTCAAGTGAGTAGAATACCTATCTTACAAATTGGCCAGAAAAGGTATTTACCTGATTGATGGTAACTGTCCTCAAAGATAAATCATAATTTAAACTTTTTAAGTGGTATTTGAAGACTGAACCATTAGAGTCAATGAGATTTGAGTGGCTAAAACTTCATGCCATGTTTTAAAGGATAAAACCTTGACCAAAAAAGTCACTGACTGTGTCTTTAGCCAAAACATTGTGGAAAATCATCTCAGCTCCTTGGGCAGATAATGTACATTGACAAAAAAGAAGCTAAATATAGTTTACAAATATTTTCTGATATTTAGGCAATATAATGCAATACTGAGCTTTAAAAAGGTAAGTCTACATGTATGTTTATTTGACAATTGAAATGTTTCAAGGAGACTGTTAGGTCCTTTCAGGTAGATAATGCGGAGAATGAAATTTATAGTTATGTCCAAACATATCTTTAGAAGACATGACATTCTCTAGTGACTCTACCATTCTAGTCTAACATGTCAACTCTTGTTCATGCCCTAGATTTTTTTTCACTCATTACCTCTCCATTTTATTTTTATGTTGTCTATTCATACTCTCCAATGTGAACTATTTGCTTTTCAAATGCACCTTACAAAAAACTGGCATCTTTATAGCTATGCTTAGGTGGTGACACTGGCTGAAAAAAGCAAGGGATTTTGAAATACGAGCCAAAATATCCTGGCATTCCAACCATCCATCAGGTACTAGAATCCGAGACCTGTCCTTAATATGTCTCTTTTTGAATACTTTTTGTGGCCAAAATGTCGTGTAAACTCAGTATCTGTTTAGGGATCTTGCTGGTAGCTAAACATGGGAATGTGGTTCAGTAGAATCGGTTCCGTTGCTTGTTATGGTTATATTTGCATATTTTCTTAAGGAAATGGTCTTAAAAAACAGGAGTCAGCCTTTAAGAGACTGCTTTTCTTTGGACATGTTGATGGAGGAGAGTTTTAGAGAAGGGGCTGAAAGCTGGAGGCGTATGGCTGGTTTCATCTTCCGTGTGCCTTTTTCACTGCCTGTCTTTAGCATCTCCGCTTCATTGCCCACGTGTCACCTGTGCTTAGCCATGAGGTGATATATCCTCTTCTATTCCAAAAACATTGATCTAAGTCTCCCTCCTTCCATTTTTTAATAAATCTTAGTGAAGCAATATAACATTCCAGGTCAGTCCTGTAGTGCTTTTCGGGCCTCGCTGGAGCGGCTGTTGCAGAGCATAGAAACTTGCTGGCACAATATTGCAAAGTGACTCTGTGGGGGCTGGACGACTTCCAGCCAGCAATGAACCACGGCCAAGAAACGCCAATATGGATAATGCAAACAAGAGAGATTTGGGGCACATTTCGATTTAACCATCTGATTTAATTGACAGAATAAATGCACCTGTCAACGGGTAATATTCTTGTGATTAGTTTTGGCTGTGATGATGAGATGATGTTAAAAGAATGTCAGAACAACCTGTCCTGGGACTCTTACAGGCAGTTTTGAGTGAGGGAAGGTCAGTTTTTAGCTAGTTCAAAGAAGCAGGATTATCTTCTTGTAATGTGAGGATATTTTATGGAGACAGTGAACATTTTATTTGGCGTTTTCCCTCTGTGCTTAGCCTTCACCACAAATCAGACAAAGTAGGGAATAGAGGCGCACAGAAGTAATTGGCTTTTGAATCAGTCTCTATGGCTACTGGGGATAGTCCTCATTTGGAAATGGACAACTCTAGGTATTAAGCTTAAACCTGCAACCGAGTGGTCTCACATTCCCCCACATTGTGGTTCTTTTTGCTACCAGAGTAAGCAATTTAAGTAGAATTTCAGTGGGATAAGGCCTTTAACTGAAGTCCTGTTTTCTTCAGAGAAATTGTAATTTATGATCTTAGACCAAGTATATTAATTAATGCTAATTTCATCATTAACCAGTTGCTGCCCAACTACAATCTCTTCTCTGGAAATTGTGCTTCTAATGTGGCTGATGACCAAATAAACAACTTTAATAATCTTCCCCAGGCTCTCTGACCTCTCTGAGCTATTTAACATTGTTGAACTTTTTCTCCTTTTTGAAAGTGCTACCTCTGTTGGCTTTCCTGAGGGAGCTTTCCTTTCATTATTCCTCTTTCTCTCTGGTCTCTTCTTCTTGGTTTCCTCTACTGATCATTCATTCATTCATTTATATTTTATTTTTTTGAATGACAAATAAGAATTGTATGTATTGTGTACACTAAGATATTTTGAAATGTGTACATATTGTGGAATGACTCAATTAAGCTAATATACTTACAATTTTTTGTGGTGAGAACACTCAAAGTCTTTGTGATTTTAAAAATATAATACATTGTTATTAACTGTAGTCACCATGTTGTACAATAGATCTCTTGAACCTACTCCTTATGTCTAACAGGACTTTTATATTCTTTGACCAACATCTTCCCAGCCCCTGGTAACCACCATTCTCCTCTCTAATTTTATGAGTCCAACTGTTTTAGATTCCACATGTAAGTGAGATCATGCAGTATTTGTCTTTCTGTCACTGACCACTCATTCTTTATCCACTCTATGTGGCCATTATTCAAACTCCTAGTTCTGTCCTCATTCTATTTTCTCCCCTCATTTCTCCCTGTACAGTGCCCCCCAACACACCATGATGTTCCTCCACATCCTTCCATAGATGCCTCTTAAGTGTACCTTCTAGAACAAATGTTATGCCAGATTCCTGATCACGTAATGAATTCCCTGCAGGATATATCCCAGACTGAATGAGCCATTATGACTATTCCATTTCTATTCCTAACCATTATCCCTGTTATACCCATAATCTCTAAATTGTGAAACTAAACTTTTTGGAATCGAAATATCTTTGAGTACCTGACGAAGGGTATGGATTTTCTTCTTAGGCAAAGGTTCATACAGACCTCTATTTGAGGCCGATTCCTAAACTCTGAATTCTATCCTTTATTCTTGAGGATGCACCATCTTTGGATTAATAACCTCCGCTCTGAGCATCTTTGAATGCTCCCTTTTATTTTTCCCTGACGTCCAGCCAGCAACCAACTCCTATAGGACAGTATTTCTCAAATTCTGGACTATAAACCAAGAATCTCTTGATTTACCTCAATTTATCCTCCTGAATTGGAGTGTCTTCAGATGGGGCATGAAAACATTTGCTGTTTAAGACAGGCACGACTTCATTTGAGATCCACTGCTACAGAGTGTGCTTTTGCTGTGCACCTTCCTCCACTTTTGCCTTTATGTTCCAACTGCCAACGCCCTACTGCAGCTTTCATTATTTCTTACCAGTGATGTTGCAATAATTGCTACCACTATTGATTGCCTCCTTGATGCCAGGTGCTTTTCATGCATTATCTCATTTAATGTTCACAACTCTCTCGGAAGTAGGCCCTATTAACTCATCTTTCAGGTGTGAAAAGTCAACCTAAGAAAGGTCAAGCAAGTTGCTCAAGGTTACACAGCTAGTAAGTTGTTGTTCTGGAATTAAAATCTAGTGTTATTGAGTTCCGAAGTTCAGACGCCTCTCTGAGGCACCCTACTGCTTCTCACTGCTGTAGCCTCTCTGCCTTCTGTCTCTCTCTCACCATCATTCCTTAGTTGTTTCCAGACAAATTTTTCTAAAGTCGATTTCAGCCAACCTCTGTGAGAAATCATATCATCTTACATTGTATTTCTTTTTTCTGACCCTCCAGGAGATGCCAGGATCCTGAAGTTCATGGACTGTGTCTGTCCTGTGTAGAGGCGGAAACTCATAAATATTTTGAATAAATAATAGCCATTACCTTATCAGAAAACTTTAGTAATTTCCTATTTGCCTGTGAGTAATTTCTAAACTCCTCAGTAAGTCATTCAGTTTTCCATATTAAATTTGACCCCTTTTATCCTTATTTAAACATTTTCTATGGGTAGTCAAATATGCCTTTCCAAATGTGCTCTTTGCTTATTCAACTATCCTCCTTTGTGCTTGCTATTATCTTGATCTAAGATTTGTTACTGCTCTATTATATTATTAAATATTATCAGTCCCTTAAGGCTCACCAAAAATGTCATACTCTGTGGAGGATTCCCTGTTCTTCACCTGTGCAGAAGCTGATTTATTTTCAAAAACATCACAGCGCTTTTTATCACCTTTAAGCTACTAGTCTGATTGTTTCTATTGCAGATAGTTGTGTACATTTTTAATTTTGCCTATCATGTTATAAATCCATTAACAACAGGGTAATGTCTCATTCACTTCTGGAACCCCTCCATCTCTATAAGTGTGCTTTGCATGTTATATAACAACTTGTTGAATATGTCACTGGTCAGAAATTCAGTGTGAGAAAATTGGTAAAATGGTATACTATACATGTAAAAGACTTTGTTAAAAGGATTAGAGGTTAATACACATTTCCAACCAGGTATCTTCATTACTCTTAATGTTATGCCCAATTCTTAGATTAAAAAAGCAGCTTAAAAAGTTTTAGGGAAGATATCCTTGCTATGCTAGGTATGGGGTGGATACCTAAAATGTCTTAAAACATGATCTTTTTCATACCCAAAGTGAATTATTGGCAGAGTGTACAAATCTCAATGATCAGCAGCAACTGCAAAGCTGCATACTTCTACAGGTGAGAATTTTTTTTTTTTTAAACAGAGTCTCACTCTGTCACCCAGGCTGGAGTGCGATGGTGCAATCTCCGCCTCCTGGGTTCAGGCGATTATCCTCAGCCTCCAGAGTAGTTGGGATTACAGGCTCCTGCCACTATGCCCAGCTAATCATTTTGTATTTTTAGTAGAGACAGGGTTTCACCATGTTGGTCAGGCTGGTCTCGAACTCCTGACCTCAGGTGATCTGCCCACCTCGGCCTCCCAAAGTGTTGGGATTACAGGTGTGAGCCACCGTGCCTAGCCCAGGTGAGAATGTTTAAACCTTTACTTGGTGAACATTATCCCGGTATCTTGGACTTTAGGATAACTTAACTTTCATGTGCTTCTCAAACAGCTATAAAGGCAAATCAACATGGACAATTTGAGTCAAATTTGGGTTCCAGACATCTCCATGTTCTGTTCAGTATGGACTAACTCTGTTAACCAACTGTGAGGGGTAATACATGGTCAGTGGTGACTTGAGTTGATTTGAATATGGAACCCCAGGGTAAAAGAAAATTACTTTAAGATATGCCTTAGCAAAAGAAAGGAAAAACAAGTATCATTTTAAGAAGCAACAGGAATATCTTAGGCTCCCTTGAATTCAAATAGTCAGTTTTCAGTAAAAGAACAAAACACTGAATTACTCTCTCATTAATACCTATATATTAGATCTGTGGTATTAACTTTTACAGCTGTTAGATGGCACTGCTATCTCATCAACTTGTTACTGAAAGTGTATTTATATGGTTTAAATAGGGTTACAATAAAATGAACTTCTCCCAGTGACAGGCTCAGAGGCTCAATGAACCTCTAAACAAAGGGTTTGGAAGGAGTGGGGCTGGTAGCTGATGCTGTTAGGAGCAACTGGCTTTAAATTCATGTTTAAGTCACTGAAACCAGATATTCAAATAGAGTACATTGGGTTAAGAAAGATCAGAAGTGGCTGAGTCCAAGTACGTCCTGCATTTGCCACAGTCTCCAGCACCACCCTGGCATCACTGGTGAATGGTGAAGACTTAGTAGGGAGCTCTAAAACTAATAATTCATAGATTTACACGAGAGAGCAAGAGATAATAATTTGGGAAAGTCTTGAGAATAGGTTACACATGTGTTCTGTGAACATAGAACATAAAATTGTTATATAAGTTCAGTGTTATTGGTGCAGGAGTTTGGATTATTTCTAGATTGTTGGGTGAGGGTGATCATCTGATCAGAACCAGAAAACTGTTTTGGTAGAGGAAAAGATAGGAAATATTTTGAGCTTTGTGGACATGTGCCTGCCTCCTTTCCTTCTTTCTCCTCTGCTTTGTCTCTCCATCCCCATTCTCCTCTTCCTCTTTCTTTTCCTCCTAACTGCTTTGTTGTTTCCCCTTAGAAATATAAAAGATAATTCTTGATTCACAACACATACAAAATAGAGTACAGACTGTATTTCGCCCATGAGTCATAGTTTCCTGACCCCTGTTCTAGGTAATAAAAACTATACAAGTGAACAGTTTCCACATAGGCTATGGATAGGTTTATAATTTTCACAGAATTGAAATAGAATGAAATACTCCTAAAGTCATGTTAGTGAACATTTATTTGTATTTTTGATTATTGTTTAAAATCAATATCCACGATATGAAAATCAATTACCTTGTATCAAAAATAAATTTAGAAAATAATTTAACTTGGATATATTTGAAGTGTTAAGTAACCAAAAGTTACTTTTCTAAAAAAAGTGGACAGGACTCCAAAATGAAGTTTATATTAATTAAAGATGTGGAGACATACACAGGTATTTCTTATAATTCACCACTATCTTAAAAATAATCCTGCACAACTGTCCTCTAGCTACCTAGATTAGCTTTATGTGTCTCTTGAGGTCAGAGTCATGAATCTCCTTTCCATGTTTCTATCCTTGACTGCTTTCCCAATCTCTACTTCTAGCTCCTTTCAGTTTATCCTAAAATTTTCTGTTAAAATTGTTTGCATAATACAATTGCATAAAGCATGAATGCTAAAGTGTAGAATTGATTCCTGAGGTTACTGGGACAATAGCTTAAGTAAGTATATTTAGAATACCCAACTTGAGTATAGAAAGCAAAGATAGGTTAAAAATATTTCTTCAAGTGGTTAATACATGTTGGGCTTCTTGTTAGTAGAGTTTAGAAAATGAGAAATGAAGATCTAATAGCTAAAATAAGAGATTAAAATTATCTTTATCTTTAAATATTTTTAAATGAATGTATTACAAAAAACAATGGGAGAGCATGGAAATATGAGTTGATAGTTTCCTTTATGGTATTGTACAGCCTCCAAAACAGTTTTTCATTCTCAGTATTCTGAATGAAGCAATACATAAGGGAAGACATTGCTAGCTTATCAGATAATGTGCGTTTAGAAATGCACTTTCAGTATAATAGAAATTGCCATTTTGAAATAAATGGGAAAATGATTTCATATATTTGAATGCAGATACCCCAAATCCAGGAAAAGGTCTTCTTTCCTCAACTATTTCTTAGTTGTGAAGGTACAGTGTTAATGGAATGAGCCACACATTCAGCAGTGTTCTGAGTTGTGAGCAGGTAATTCTACCCCAGTCCTTGAATTTATATCACTTTATATTAAGAAGAGCTCTGCTTTTGTAATTCTTATTCCTGAGAATATTGTTTTTATACTAAAGATTCTTAACCACACAGCATGAAAAAATGAAACTTTTATACATAAATAGGTACTATTAAGAGTAAGAAAGAGCTGTTTCCAATCATTCTCATGTAGCAATTGTTGGGATTAGACAGAATGGAAGTGCATTGTGAACAGGTTTATTTTTAGATGTTATTTCTTTGCTTCTGGCTCAATGTATTTGGGGTCAACTTTTCACTGAAATTGGCATTAACATGACTTCAGGTTCAAGTAAAGGAAATAAAACTGAATCATATTTTACAATTTTTGTAGATAATAAATTATCTCAGCCTGTTTCCTTGTTTTTGACATAACACGCCATGTTTCTCTATACCCTAATTCTTCAAAGTTCTGATTTGGTACCTGGAAGTTAACTGACAAGGACATTCACTTGGATATTCAAGGGATATATCTGCATTTCCATAGAGGATTCTTAAAAAACAAGAAACTTTTAGACTCAGGAAAGTGAAAATAGAAGATCAAAATGTACAAGTTAGTATTTTTGAATATGTAGGTACCAAAACATGCATCCTGCAGACTACAACACTGCAGAGATATTCTCTGCTCTCTCTTTGCCTTTTCCACACACCAGATACATGGGTTCACTGTTTTACAGAACTTTAAAAAACTTGGAAGGTTTATATTTTTCAAATTTGGTAGCTCCTAGAATAATAGTATATATCAAAAAAAGAAAAAGAAAAAGAAAACTTATCCTTACACGTATATTTTAATTATTCTGTCAGTTCTTGTCTCCGATCTTTAGGCTACTGTCAAGGCCTAATGTTTTCTCCAGAGTTTTCTGTGGGCTCATGAGGGTGGCTTCTGTTTGTAGAGCAAATAGAGAAGACATGAACTAAAGACAACTCTTCTAGATTTCTCACAGAGCCAAGTGCAAGCTGCTCTTGCACTCAAAAGGAATGAAAGAACAAAGTCTGTCCAAATTGATTCCTAGCTTGAAGCTTTCAGCTAGGATATAAATCTGCCCTGTTCACCTTTCACAAAGCTAATCCCAAATCAGTTTATGGGATTAGTGCAGTTACTCTGTAAATCACTTAAATGGTATTTGAGGCATTTTTTGTGAGAACTAGCTTCTGCTGGATGTTTTCTCCTATTTTCCACACACAGTACAGTTCTTTCTTCAACATTTAAAAAACTATAAAGAAAGGGGGCTTGATACCCAAAATGCCAAAAGAAACCGTAGGCTTCCAACTGATAGTACACATTTCGAAGGAAATCAAATCCTGGTTAAACTACTTGATCTTTTAGTAGTAACTCATTTGTCTGCAAGGAAGGGTATACATTTTGCTCTGTACTGTTATTTGAAGGAAAGATGAATTTTTCACAAGTGTTTCAAAATTCACTTTGAACTGAGTGATCAGTTTGTCAGTACTTGATGTCTTGGTTTGACTTCAGTTCTTAAAAACAGGCTTAAAAAGGCAGTTACAATAATAGAAATAGTAAACTTACCTAATGAAAGACAGCTTCCCATCTCCAGTAACTTTCTTCAATTGCTTTCTTATTATCTCATCTTTACTCATTCAGTAAACATTAGTCAGGTATCTTGTGTGTGCCATACATTACGGTGTGCACTGGGGATAAATGACCTGTGGTCTTTGCCCTGGAGGAGCTCTCAGTAACATTGCCTATTTCTTGAATTGGTTGCAATTATAAAACTTCATATAACATACAGCTTATTTTAAATTTGGGCATGAAGCTATTTGCGTTGAAAAGTACAGGTTGACCATCCCTAATCCAAAATCTAAAATGCTCCCAAATTTGAAATTTTTTGAGTGATGACATAACACCACAAATGGAAAATTCCATACCTGACCTCATGTGACAGGTCACAGTCAAAACTTTGTTTCATTCACAAAATTATTTAAAATATTGTGTAAATTTACTTCAAGCTATGTAAATAAGGTTTATATGAAATATAAATAAATTTCATTTCATGTTTAGACTTGGGTCTCATCCCTAAGATATCTTATTTTATGTGTGTGTATATTTATACACACACACATACACATACGCACACATATATATTATAAATATATATATATTTGCATATATATATGCAAATATTCCAAAATCTGAAAAAATCTGAGATCCAAAACACTTCTGGTCCCAAGCATTTTGGATAAGGCATACTCAACCTGTATTGCATTTTTTCCCACTAATCGTTTTCATAAAATTGGAGGCATATTCTTGAATAAAAAAATTATTTTGTGTAAGACTAAAACATTTTTTAAAGTCTATATTTGTCTATAGCATTCTAGTAATTTTTATATTAATGTAACATTTTGGGGGAACTTAAGTTCTTGTATACGTGTGTGTGTGTGAGTGTGTATGCTTTTCACAATTCCATTCCTAGAACAAGAAGGACATTTATTTCATATTCAGGTATCCATGACTCCACAGCCTTAGCATTTTCAATTCTCCCCTTCCTTCCCTTCTGAATGTTTTTCAGAGCTGAACAAAAATAGCACTCTCTGTCATCTAAGTATTTCTGTATTAACATAATGGAGTTTATGTAGGTGATTTTCTTGATCTTTTTGAGACTTTACACTGTATAAAATTAACTCCCCCATAGGCATTTCTAGAAATTTATAATATGCTTATCAGGTTTACTAGCAACAAAATTGCTTTAAATATATTTTGAAATTCATATAATTACACCAGAGTTGCATTGAAGTTTTCTGAAGTGCTTTATCAGTTTTCAGACCACATTAAAATTTGTTCATTATCTCAAGTGAGAAATTTACTTGTTATTTATAGTACTATTTGCATAGAATTGAGTAAGTGAGGAGAAGGCCAATCTGAAAAAATTGCATGCCAGATCGCCACAACACATCTTGTACTGAGATGACAGTCTTCCATTCAGGCAAATATCCTATGTTAAGTTCATGTTATGAGTAATAAATAGGACCTTTGTGGAAAGAAAAAAAAGTAACAAACATGAAACAAGTTTGGAACAAATAGAAATATATATGATGCTTTTGAATAAGAAATATTAATATTATAAAAACACAATCACTCTTCAATTGATAAATACTTGTGTAAATTTTTGTAATTAAGTTTAACTTATATATGCGACAATACACAAATCTTAGGTACGTGGCTCAAAGAATTTTTATAAATTGAATATATCCATGTAATCATCAGCAGTATTTGATAGGTTCAATTGTTTAGCATTCTTGTCAACACTTGAGATCGTTAATCATTTTGATTGTAGCCATTTTGATAGATATGTAATTGTACAGAACTGTGGTTTTAATTGGCATTTATCTAGTAACTAATTATTTTGAATATCTTTTCATTTGCTTATTAGCCATGTGGATAAAGTATTTTGCAAAGTATCTTTTCAGATCTTTTGCCCATTTCTCCATTTCTGTAATTTTCTTATTTATTTCTAGGTTGTCTTAATATATTCAGGGTAGGAATCTCTTGTTATATAAATATATTGCAGACATCTTTTCCTATTCTGTGTTTTGCCTTTTGATATGTGGTGTCTTTTAATAAAAAGTTCTTAATTCAATGATTTTTTCATAAAATTGATCCTTTTCTTCATGACTAATGCTTTCTGTATTCTGTTTAAGAAATTTTGCCCATGCCAAGGTCATAAGGTATTCTCCTATCTTTTATTATTTTACCTTTTCTGTTTAGTTAAAATATTAATAAACATATTAATAAGGCCAGGTGTGGGGGCTCACACCTGTAATCCCAGCAGTTTGGGAGGCCAAGACAGGAGGACTGCTTGAGACCAGGAGTTCAAGACCAACCTGGGCAATATAGCAAGACGATGTTTCTACAAAACATAATTAAAAATTAGCTGGGCATGGGGTGCATGCTTGTAGTCCCAGCTACTCAAGAGGCTGAGACAGGAGGAATCCTTGAGTTTAGGAGTTTTAATTTAATTTTAATACAATTTAAAATATTTTTAAAATTTTTTTTTAATTAAAAAAATTATATAAAAAATTAAATTTTTTTATTATAAAATTTTAATTTAAAAATTTATTACTATTTAAATAATAAACATTATCTATCTATCTATATAAACTATTTCCTCTAAACTTCCATATTAGGAATTCTTAATTTACTTTAGAATTGATCTTTATTTAGATTATGAGGTAGGGGTCCGGGTTCATTTTCCCCCTAACTATTCAGTTGATGAAGTTCTTTTCCACACTTCATCTCAATGCTATTTTTGTTGTAAACCAACGTTTATATGTCTATGAATATATTTTTGGACTCTCTATTGTATTCCATTAGCCCATTTCTAATCTAAGAACTTTGATCACAGTTTGCTTCCACAGTCTACAACTTGACCTTTTGCGATTGGTTATATCCACTGAAGTTATGAATTATTTATATTTTAGGTAATGGAGTGTACAATTTCTTTCAGGAGGTAGATATGTCTCCTAGGTAGCAAACATTTTTCCATTTGACAATCTGTTGTGTAACATTATGGATTAGTGGTTTTTTTTCTTTTAATTTTTATTTTTAGTTCTGGGGTACATGTGCAGGATGTGCAGGTTTGTTACACAGGTAAACATGTGCCATGGTGGTTTGCTGCACTTATCAACCCATCACCTAGGTATTAAACCCAGTATGCATTAGCTATTTTTCCTAATGCTCTCTATTCCTCCAACCTACCCCCAACAGGCCCCAGTGAGTGTTGTTCCCCTTCCTGTGTCCATGTGTTCTCATTGTTTAGCTCCCACTTATGCGTGAGAACATGTGGTGTTTGGTTTTCTGTTCCTACATTAGTTTGCTGAGGATAATGGCTTCTAGCTTCATCCATGTCCCTGCAAAGGACATGATCTCATTCCTCTTTATAGATCCATAGTATTCTATTGTTCGTATGTACCACATTTTCTTCGTCTAGTCTATCATTTATGAACATTTGGGTTGATTCCATGTCTTTGCTATTGAGAATAGTGCTGCAATGAACACATGCATACATGTATCTTTGGTTTTTATAGACTCAGTTTGCTCCAGTTGAGTATACTGTTTTATGTATATATTTTTATTTTAATTAATTAATTTTTTTTGAGACAGAGTCTCACTCTGTGGAGTGCAGTGGTGTGATCTTGGCTCACTGCAACCTCTGCCTCCTGGGTTCAAGCGATTCTCCTGCCTCAGCCTCCCAAGTAAAAGTAGCTGGGAGTACAAGCACACGCCACCACACCTGGCTACTTTTTGTAATTTTGATAGAGGTGGGGTTTCATCATGTTGGCCAGGATGGTCTCAAACTCCTGGCCTCAATTTGTCCACCCACCTCAGTCTCCCAAAGTGCTGGAATTACAGGCATGAACCACTGCCCCTGGCCTGAGTATATATTTTTTTTATTCAAATATGCAATCCCACAAAAACTGGAAATGGGAATTCCTTTAAGATGGCTTATTTGTTCTTTTTAACACCAATAGAAGCTATATTTGATAGTTTCTTTCATATATTGAAATAAAATTTTCCAACCATATCTTGAATTTTCATACCCCACCTGTAGAATTTGCTCCTCTCCAAAGAGATGTCCATTCTTTATGTTGAAATTAATATAAATGATCAAAATATGAGCACTGGGTAAAAATATTATTTAACATTAAGGTCAAGTGAGAACAGCTAGCAAATTTACATTAGGGCTTTTATTAAATGCAGTGTTTCAATATCAAAGATATGGCATCAACCTAGGTACCCATTAATGGTGAACTGGATAAAGAAAATGTAGTATATTATATCATGAAATACTATGTAGACATAAAAAAAATGATATCAGGTTCTTTCCAGCAAACATGGATGTAGTTGGAGGCCATTATTCTAGGCAAATTAACTAAAGAGCAGAAAACCAAATACCACGTGTTCTCACGTATAAGAGAGAGCTAAATAAACATTGAATACCCATAGATATGAAGATGGGAACAATAGACACTGGGACAACTAGACAGGGGAGGGAGGGAGGAAAGTGTGGACTGAAAAACACCTATTGGATACTATGCTTACTAAGGGGTGATCATTCGTGCCCCGAACTTCAGTGTCACACAATATACCCAAGTAGCAAACCAGCACATGTACCCTTTAATCTATAATAAAAGTTGAAATTATAAAAATAAAAATAAATGCAGTGTTTTTCTTTAGTTCTAACTTTACTTTTATGTTTTCCTTGTTCTAACATTAGTGTTATAAAACCATTTTTTTCCTGTTTGAGAGACTACCTTTGCCTTTATATCATGCATAACATTTTTATTAGCTTTATCATTATCATAGAATGCTATATATTACCTACCAAATCATATGTTTAAGTTAAAATACAATCAAAAGTTTTTAAAAATGCAACTAAAGACTTACAGAAAAGTTGTAAGAATAAGACAAAGAGTTCTGATATTAGATTTCATCCAGACACCTTAAGTTTGCCCATTGTCTCAATAATTGGCTATATAGCAGAAGGATCCACTGTAGGATCATGAGTTACATCTAGTTGTCTTACTTTTATCTAGTTTTTTTTTCATGGCTTTTTTTATTCTAGTCTTTGTCAACTTGGAACAGTTCTTTAGTCTTTTTTGACCACTATGTCTTTGACATTTTTCAAGATTAAAGGTCAGGTATTTTAACTGCTCCTCAATTTGGATAGGTTCAAACTGATTAAACCCAGGCTATATATTTTGAGCCTGAATATCACAGAAGTGATGCTTTGGTTTTCTCATTGTATGGTATCTGGTGGCACATGTCAGTTTGCCCCATTACTGTGAGGTTTTATGTTGATCATTTAGTTAAAGTGGAGTCAGGAGATTGAGTACGTTAACATATACTGAAAAAAATAAGAAAATATTCTGAGGATAATGGGAGCCAGTTTTCTTATAGTTGGATAAACAAAGTAAAAATATGGAAGAAAGTTAGAAAAAACTCTTAGGTGTTAAATTGGATCTAGAGTCATTTCTGTGAACTCTTAGTTTTCAGTTAGTTAACTGCAAATATTAAGATGCCCATATGTGTATACATATGTATATGTGAATATATTTAAATATACCCACAAATATATTTTAACTCTGTCCACTGAGAGGCCCTGGGAGCACTAACACCTTAAGCAGTGAAGAAACTTGATTTTGAAATGCCACTGGCCACTAAAAGGAATCAAGGTTTCTTGGGAAAATAGCTAATTTTAAAGCTAGGGCAGAAAAGAGTAAGATGAGTTTGAAATATCTTGATCAACCAGAAAGAGTGGAGATTCTGAAAACATGAGGATTTTTAAAAAGGACACAGGAGGAAGCCTTAAAAAACTCCTGCATGCCAAATCTTCAATATTTTGAGCATGAAAATAAACAATTATAGAAAGAATATAACTTCTTGGATAAAATAGAAATCTTTGAGTTACTGTGTGATACGGTTAGGCTTTGTGTCCCCACCCAAATCTCATCTTGAATTGTAATCCCCATAATCCCTACTTGTCAAGGGAGAGATCAGGTGGAGGTAATTGAATCATGAGGGTGGTTTCCCCCATGCTGTTCTCATTATAGTGAGTTAGTTCTCACGAGATCTGATGGTTTTATAAGGCTCTTACCCCTTCGCTTGGCACTGCCCCTTCCTGCCACCTTGTGAAGAACGTGCCTGCTTCCCCTTCACTTTCTGCCATGAATCTAAGTCTCCTGAGGCCTCCCAAGCCATGCTGAACTGTGAGTTAATTAAACCTCTTTCATTTTAAGTTACCCAGTCTCATATATTTCTTTATAGCAGCATGAGAACAGAGTAATACAGTAAATTGGTACCGGGAGTGGGACTGTACCCTGCAAAGCCACAGGGGCAGAGCTGCCAAAGGCCATGGAAGCCCACGTCTTGCATCAGCATGACCTGGATGTGAGACATGGGGTCAAAGGAGATTATTTCGGAGTATTAAGATTTGACTGCCCCATTGGATTTCAGACTTGCATGGGGTGTGCAGCCCCTTCATTTTGGCCAATTTCTCCCATTTGGAATGGGTGTATTTACCCAATGCCTGTAACCGCATTGTATCTAGGAAGTAACTAACTTGCTTTTGATTTTACAGGCTGATAGGCAGAGGGACTTGCCTTGCCTCAGATGCGACTTTGCACTTAGACTTTTAGGTTAATGCTGGAATAAATTAAGACTTTGGGGGACTGTTGAGAAGGCATGATTGGTTTTGACATGTGAAAGGGACATGAGATTTGGGAGCAGCCAGGGGAGGAATAATATTGTTAGGCTTTGTGTCTCCACCCAAACATCATCTTGAATTGTAATCCCCATAATCCCCATGTTTCAAGGGAGAGACCAGGTGGAGTTAATTGAATCATGGAGGCACTTTCCCCCATGCTTTTCTTGGGATAATGAGTGAATTCTCATGAGATCCAATGGTTTTATAAGGGGTTCTTCCCCCTTTGCTAGGAACTTCTTCCTGCTGCCTTGTGAAAAAAGTGCCTTACTTCCCCTTTTCCTTCTGCCAAGATTGTGAGCTTCCTGAAGCCTCCTCAGAGCCATGTGGAACTGTGAGTCAATTAAACCTCCTTCCTTTATAAATTACCTAGTCTCAGCCATGCTGAACTGTGAGTCAATTAAAGCTCTTTCCTTTATAAATTAACTAGCCTCAGGTATTTCTTTATAGCAGCATGAGAACAAACTAATGCACTGCTCATAAAATTTAATAAACAAATCAAGAAAGGGAAAAAAATTCTTACAGTAGACTCTGTCAACTAATAGATGTGGAAGGTGTTGTAGGATTAGAAAGTCACCATTTGGCAGCCATCATTATAATAAGTAGTTTAGGCAAGAAACATAAAGAGAGGCTAAAACCAATGGGAGCAAGTAGAATGAGGAATGGAATTTTACATAGTCTCAAAGTACCTATTCACAAAATAATTATAACAGAAAACAGTTTCTTTGAAATATGGAAAGCTTGCTCTCATTATGCTCAAAATATTTTCTTTTGCTAAATCTATGTGAATGTGGTCCATCTCCTAATCCAACCAGGACCCTAAGGGGTTGGATGGCCACTGGAATTTCTTTCCATCGCATTTAGACATCCTTCTTAGGCGGATATTGACTGCCATTGGGTTGTCTTGTCCCTCTTTGATGCCTCTTTTTTTATATTTGTAAATATATAAAAACCACCCTTTATTAAATTAAGGTGGGTCCAGTTCTCTATTTCTTTGTTCAAACACACCAGGATCATAGCCTCAAACCAAGAGACTAAAGTATCACATAAAAGGAAAAATATTTTTCAACACCTTTAATATTTAAAGGTCTTTGTTCTGTCCATCTCATTTGAGCATATCAGTTATCTCTGGATCAGTAAAGACATATTTTCTGAAATAAACCATACCTGAACTTTAGTAACTTAAAATACAATCATATTTATAATAACATTTCAGTTAGTTTTATAGGCATTTTGATTTATAATATATAGAAACTTCAAATAATTCTTAGAATTATTAAAACATGTAGCATTTAAATTATTTTAAACCTTGAGCTTAAAAAGCCAAACACTTTTTACCAGGTCCAGCATGTTTATTTTTTAAATAAAAGTTTTTTAAATAATGGAATTTATTTTTATATCTTTATCAAACACATAAATAAGCTGTAGTATATTCATACAATATAATATTATTTACCAATAAGAAAAGGGCTATTGGCCAGGCAGAGTGGTTCACGCCTATAATCCCAGCAGTTTGGGAGGCCAAGGTGAGCAGATTACCTGAGGTCAGGAGTTCGAGACCCGCCTTGCCAACATGGCAAAATCACGTCTCTACTAAAAATACAAAAATTAGCCAGGCGTGGTGGTGGGTGACTGTAATCCCAGCTACTTGGGAGGCTGAGGCGGGAGAATTGCTTGAACCCAGAAGGCAGATGTTGCAGTGAGCCAAGATCGCGCCACTGCAGTGCAGCCTGGGCGAGAAGAGCAAAACTCCATCTCCAAAAAAAAAAAAAAAAAAAAAAGCTATTGATTCATTTTAAAAAGATATGAAGGTACCTTAAATAAATATTAGTAAGCCAGTATTAAATAAATATACAAAGTATGTAAATAAATATACAAAGCCAGTATGAAAAGGCTACATATCTTAAATGATTCCAATTATGTGATACTCTAGAATAGACAAAACCGTAGAAACAGAACTGATCAGTGATCACAACTGATACAGAGATTTGAGGAAAATAGGAATGGTTGAATGGGTGAAAAGGGATTTTTTTATGGCAGTAAAATTATTCTGTATGATATGAAATGGTGGATACAAGGCATTACACATTTGTCAAAACCAATAGAACTGCAGAACAAAGAATGAATTTTGATGTAGCAAATTTAAAGAACATTTAGGAGGTTGGGAGATCAAGGTATAGATTGCAGAAAGTGTCTAAAGAATCTAGCTGTATTACAAATGTATGACACATCCTCACTGAAAGGGATTGGGAGTAAGGTGTTGACCTGAGTACTTATGGAAATAAGTGGAGTCTATAAGACTAAAGGAAAGAGACTGAACGTAAGCACTACACTCTGGTAAATAGAATTACTTCTTTTCAGGGTCTGGATTAACAATTTTGATTTTGCTATGCAGGTATACTGCAATGGAGCAATTAAGTAAATGGATGGCAGATGGTGCAAGGACAGCTTTGTTTCTGTTAGAGTGGGAATCTGCATATAAGCAAGAGGAGGAAGCTAGAATAATCTATGGGGTAATGGATTACACTTGAAGACATTAGTATAAACTCATGTTTAATATAGCTTCATAAAGATATAAATGGTTACATTTAAAAATTTATAGCTATATTTATATACACAGGTTAATACAGACACATGTTTTTTGCTCTGTCAGCTGAGAAGGTTTATAGGAAACCACATACCAGTATCAATGGGCATGCCTAGAGCCCAGGTCTTGGTTTCTAGTGTCGTTCTCCAACAAAAGTAATGAAGGCTTTTTGGAGAAATGTCTTTTTTTCTAAAACCAGGTTAGGAAATACACAAGAGGAACCTGGAGTATTTTGCCTTCCTTTCTCTTCCTTTCCCATCCTTCCCTGCATTGTTTTTTAAATGTTTAAACACAGAAAATATTTGTTATATAATGAGAAAAGAACAAAGTTACAATAAAAGCAATTTCAAGTTAGATGCTTAGGTTTCACTTTTAGATTTCAAACTTACCACTTCCTTGTGTAGGTCTCTGGAACTTTTGGATCGACCTTCAACAAGCCATTGAGAGCCACAGCATTGAGAATCACAACATTGTATGTTTTCACTGGAGAATTAAATATGGCATTATGGGTACTCCAATCCTGATCATGAGTCTACATGAGATAAATTATATTTACAGAAGACTATATGAGGAATATGTAGATCATCCCATGCTCTAGTTAGTCATGGACAAGTATATGACACTTGTGCTACTATTTTCCCTGTCCTGTCCTGTGATTGTGGCAGACATGAATAATTGAGTACAGCTCTTTTTCTAGGCTAAGAAAGTGGTCAGAGTTGGCCCTGGAGATGAAACCTCATTACCATTCCTTTTCTAGCAACTGAGTTATTTTCTTGAGTCAAGCTACACCATCAGAAAGCTGTCTTATATTAATACTTATCCAAACTGATATCCTTTTTAGTGCCTCAAACTAGATCCTGATCAGGCATGTTATAACAAGTTCGTATGTTTATTTTAGTGCAAAAAAAAATTGAAATCCATACATAGTTTTTTCATAATATGTATTTACCATAAACTTTTTGAAGTACTCTTGTATACATATGTATACACACACACACAAATACATACCCCACATTTTCTTTATTTTTTAAAATTTATGGACACAGGTTGATTCCATAGCTTGGCTATGGTGTATAATGCAGCAATAAACATGGGAGTGCAGATATATCTTTGGCATACTGACTTTATTTCATTGGGATATATACCCAGACATGGGATTGATGAATCGTGTGGTAGTTCTATTTTTAATGTTTTGAGGAACCTTCATATTGTTTTCCATAATGGCTGTATCAATTTACATTCTCACCAACAGTGTACAAGAGTTCCCTTTTCTCCACATTCTTACCAAAGCTTGTTATCTTTCTGCTTTTTGATAATAGCTGTCCTAAGAGATGTGAAGTGATATCTCATTGTGATTTTGATTTGCATTTCCCTGATGATCAGTGATGTTGAGGAGATTTGCATATATCTTTTGACCATTTGTATGTCTTTTGAGACATGTCTTATTTAGGTCTTTTGCCCACTTTGTAATTGGGTTATTTGTTTACTTGCTACTATAGTGTCCTTGTCTAATTTTGCTATCAGGGTAATGATGGCCTCACAAAATGAGTTTGGAAGTGTTCCTTCTTCTTCAGTTGTTTGGGAGAGTTTGAGAAAGATGAGTATTTGTTGTTCTTTAAATGTTAGTTAAAATTGATCGGTAAAGCTATCAGGTCCTGGGCTTTTTTTGAGGAAGGAGAAAGTTTTTGATTAATGATTCAGTCACCTCACTCATTATTGGTTTGTTCAGATTTTCTATTCTTTAATGATTCTGTCTAGGCAGTGTATTTATAGGAATTTATTTTTTTTAGGTTATTCAGTTTGTTGACATATAATTGTTGAGAGTAGTCTTTTATGATCATTTGTATTTCTGTGGTATCAGTTGTAATGTCTTCTTATTCACTCATTCATTTAGCCACTCTATCTTTTAATTGAAAAATTAATCTAATTACATGTATATTTAATAATGATAATAAACCAATTTAATTAAGAATAAAAAAATGAAAATCAATGAAAGCAAAATGTGTTCTTTAAAAAGGTCAATAATATCATCTAAATTCTATGCAGACTAACCAAGAAACAAAGAGAAGGAACTAAATTTAATATAAGTAAGGAAAGAAAGAACATCCCTACAGTCATCATAAATATTAAAATGATGCTAAGAGAATACTGAAAGTAAAAATGATGGCAGTGGCAGGCCTTCTGAAGTGGCCGCTGCCAGCACGCCAGCTGCAATGGGGAGGAGTGGGGTGCAGGTGGCAGGAACAGCTGTGCGAGCAGCAGCAGCAGAGACGAGTCCCCTGAGCCCCTTCATCTCTGAGGCACCTGACTGCACTACCCCCACCCTCCCATGGCTGGGCAGGACCCAGTCCCAGGCCTGGAGCCTCTGCTGCAGCCTCCATCTCACTCCCTACCACGTCCCAGGAGCCCACAAGCACCTGCCCGAAGGCACCAAGTTCCTGTACCTCGGGAAGAAGCTCTGTGCGGTGTCGCTGGAGAGTGCATCCCCAGGATCTGCCCTGCATTGAGGTGATCGTCGAGCCTGACACTCCTGACGGCTGGGCCCAGGGCCCATGATCCACTCCCAGAGGCACCCACCCCTGGGCAGGGCCATATGTGGGTGACAGGGAGCCCTGGGCCTCCCCGGACCACTGGGGCCACAGGAAGAACTCATGGTGATGTCACCCCTGCCCTAGACGCCAGCCTGGGCCCAGCCAAAGACCTGGAGCCCCTGCCCCAGGCTGCGAATAGATGAACAGGGAAGCTCTCCAGGACCACCATGACGAAGACCCCCAGAGTTTCCACAACCTGGGGAAGGGCATCTCCATGCAGGACCATGGGTCTTGGGGACAGCAGCCCAGGGAGGCTCCTCCAGGGAGGATACAGCAGGTGCAGACGTGACTTGGACAGCACATCAGTGGCTTCATCATCCACGGAGCAGGAGAGCAGCAGTGGGGCTTGGTGACACTGGACCCTCTGGAGTAAGCTTTGATGTCCTTAGCCTCTGATGGCCAATGGGGCAGCCTAGTCAAGCAGGGCTTCATCATGGTTGCACCCACCTGCACGCAGCCACCAAGCATGGCAGACAGTAGCTCTGCCCTCCCGGGTGCAGCTGCAACCGCTGAAGCCATGGCTGTGGACCTGGGCACCTCTGCACTTTTGGGGATGTGGGAACCCCCTCCATCCCTGCAGGCCTGAAAGTGCCTCCTCTGGCTGTCTGGCCTCTCCCCATTCCTGGCACCTGCTCCAAGTCTGGAGCAAAGTTGAGGCCAAGCCTGGGTGCTGTTGCAACCTGGCAGGTGTGCACATGCTCTGGGCAGCACTGACATGCCAGCCCCCTGCAACCTCAGCCCCCTCCAGATTTTGAGCACCGACAAGCACTGGGAGGAGGCTGAGAGCAACTTGGCAGCTGGCCTGTAGGTACCCCTTTGCATGAATAGCCTGGGTACCATAAACAGCAGTAATAGGCAGACAAGCTCCTGGATGGAAAGAGGTGGGTCCCCAGTGAAGCCCCACCCTAAAGCCTGGGAAGGCCTGAAGCCCAGGGACCAGGCTGCCAGTCCCATGGACCAGAATGGGAGCCTGTGGTGCTTTTTTCGGGCCCACCTGTGGCCACCCATAGACCAATCAGCACGCATTTCCTCTCCTCTGAGGCCCACTAAAGCCCTGGACTCAGCTAGACTTAAGGAGACAATGGGACAACCAGCCTCAGAGACGAGCTACCACCCCAGGGTCTCCTCTCTGCTGAGAGCTGAACACTTGTCAGGTCACCCTGGGTACAGAGAGGAGCTGCCCCTGTCAGTTTCCTCTTGAGCTGTTCCATTGCTCAATAAATTTCCCCTTTGTCTTGCTCACCCTCTACTTGTCTGCACACCTGATTCTTCTTGGATGCAGGACAGGGACTTGGGAATGGTGGGGCTAAAAAAGCTGTAAACCAAACAGCTGAAATATGCCCCTTGCTTGCCACATTGAGGGTGACAAGAAGGAGAGGAGAGAGATGGAGAGAAGAGCTGCTGCCCTTTTGGGAGCCCAGACCTAGGAGCTCCCCTAGCCAGGAGTGTGACACTCTTTTTAGTGCTCTGTGGTTCCTCACATCTCCAAGCTTCTGGGCACCTCTGCATTCCCCAGTGTCAGACACAGAAGCTGGTTATGGTATACCTGGTCCAGCTGCAGTCTTGCAGGGAGCCAAAACCTATTCCAGTGCCTGGAGCTGCCCACCCCACTGCAGCTGGCATGCCTGGCTGTGCGCAGTAGCCAGACCCCATGCTCACTCACATACCACCTGGCTCGTCCTTTGCAGGTGTGGGATCCAGGCCAGTAGCATGAACCAAGTGCAGCCTGCCAGGCTGAGTCAGTGGAATAAGCCCAGCAGGCCAGAGCAAAACGTGGGCAAAGGCACCACTGACCACAGAGTTTTCCTGCTGGCAAAGCGACACCCCAAGGATTCTGTGACAAAAATATGTACCCATAAATTGATATAATTAAGTGAAACAAATTAGTTTCTTGAAGGATACAACCTACCAACATTTATTCAAGAGGAAACAGACTATCTGAATAGTTTTTTTAATCTATTAAGGAAAGTAAATTTGTAGTAAAAAAATTTCTTACAAGAAAAACTTTAGGTCTTGACAGTTTCATAGTTAAATTCCATCACATATTTAAGGAAGAAATAATACCAATTTTTCTCAATTCCTTCCAGAAGTGTTTTATTTCTTCTTTAAATGTTCTATTTGATATAAAATAATTGTACATATTTTTGGGGTATGTAGTGATATTTTGATTCATATATAGTGATCCAATTGGGGTAATTAGCATATTCATCATCTCAAACATTTATCATTTCTTTGTATTGGGAACATTCTATTCTAAGTATATTTAAAGTAATTGATAGCTAGAGGGACTTACTCTTGCTATTTTATTAAAATTTTCTTACTGTCTTTAGCTTCTTCTCTTCCTCTGTTGCTATCTTCCTTGTGATTTGATTGTTTTTTGCAGTGACATGCTTTGATTCATTTCCCTTTACCTTTTGTATATCTACTAAAGGTGTTTTTTTGTTTGTTTTATTTGGTTAGCATGAGGTTTAAATAAAACATCTCATAGTTGTAACAGTCTGTTTTAATTTTATAACATCTTTGGTTGCATAGAAAAACTATACATTTTTACTGCTCTTTTCATGTTTGTTATTGATGTCACAATTTACATAGTATCATATTATGTATTTATTTACAAATTATTCTACCTATAATTATTCTTAATACTTGCATCTTTTAATTTTATACTAGAGATAAAAGTGATTTGTGTACCATCTTTAAAGTATTATAGTATTCTGAATTTAAGTAAATTCTTACCTTTATAGTGAGTTATAAGCTTGTATACATTTTTATCATGCTAGTTAGTATCCTTTCATTTCAACTTGAACTTTTAAAAAAACTTTTTGATATGGCAGGTCTAGTGGTGATGAACTCCCTCAACTTTTGTTTGTTTGAGAAACTCTTTATCTCTCATTTCTGAAGGATAGCTGTGTAGGGTATAGTATTCTTGGGTGCCAATTTTTTTTTCTTTAAGTACTTTGAATATATAATCTCATTGTCTCCTAACTGCAAAGTTTCTACTGAGAAATATGCATATGTGTAATGAGATTCCCTTCTATGTAACAAGTTGTTTTTCTCCACTACTTTTAGAATGCTTTATTTTTGACTGTTGATAATTTAATTATAGTGTGTTTCAGTGAAGATACCTTTATGTTTAATCTATTTGTGGTTCTTTGGGCTGCATAAATCTGAATATTCATTTCCCTCAGCAGATTTGGGAAATTTTCCATCATTATTTCTTTCTTTCTTTTCTGTTTTTTTTTTTTGTTTGTTTTTTTTTGAAATGGAGTTTTGCTCTTGTTGCCCAGGCTGGAGCGCAATGGCATGATCTTGGCTCACCGCAACCTCCATCTCCCAGGTTCAAACAATTCTCCTGCCTGAGCCTCCTGAGTAGCTGGGATTACAGGCATGTGTCACCACACCCGGCTAATTTTGTATTTTTAGTAGAGATGGGGTTTCTCCATGTTGGTCAGGCTGGTCTCAAACTCCTGACCTCATATGTTTTTACCCTTTTCTCTCTTTCTGTTCCTTTTATGATGTCCATAAAGCATATATTAGTTTGCTGGATGGTTTCCATATGTCCCATTGGCTTTCTCCTCTTTTTTCACTTTGTTCCTCTGACTGGGTAATTTCAAATGACCTGTCTTTGAAGTTGGTCATTTTTTTTTTCTTCTACCTGATCAAGTCTTCTGTTCCCTTGGTTGTGATATGTTTCTTTGATTATTTGAGATTATTGTGGTTTTGTATTGATGTCTTTGGATTTGAAGAAGTAGACACCTTTTTTAGATTTTACACAGTGGTTTTGGCAGGAAAGCTCTTCACTAGAAAACTCTCCAAAAATTACAGGTAGGACAGCTGGCAGGAACCATGGGTGGGCTTGCTGCTAGATTCCTTAGGTAGACTGGCCTGGTGACTTGGCCAGCAGTGGGGCAAGCATGGTTCTTGGGTCCCCAAGAGCCAGCCCTCACACCTGAACACATGAGTGTGCCTGGAGCCTGGGTCCACTTGAGTAGGCCTGGAGCTTACAGACATAGAATCTGGGACTGTAGGAACTGACCTTGTCCAAGGATAGCCATTGTGTCTGAGTCCTCAGGGGCCAGACTAAAGCCAAGGGGACCAGCCTGGATCTTGGTGCTACAGGTATGGACTTTGAGACTTGGAACCAGGGTGGCTGGTCTGGCACTGGGGTGAGCCTGGAGCCTGTGCTCGAGAGGCCAGCCTGGAGTATGGGCCCATAGGGGTTGGCCTGGCATAAGGACTCACTGGATTAGGCCTGGTGCAGGGGTCCAAAGCAAAATTGAGTGCTCACTTTACTCCCCTTCCTCTATGTGAAGGGTATCTCTTTCATGCTGTGCAGGTCTGGGGAGGGGTGATCTGGATAATGTGAAACTGTTCTTTCTACCCTCTTCAATGTATCTTTTCTTGTTTCTGTGCTCTAACCAGGTACTGTAATCTCTCACCTGGATTTCCTAGCTCTTGTAGAGATATTTTTATGCATGGATAGTCATTCAAATTAAAGTTTCTGTGAGAGAATGAGCACTGGAAACCCCTATTCTATCATCTTGCTGATGTCACTCTGCCAATAATATTTCTCTTTTAACCTTGAATTCCAGTAAGCTCTGAGACAAATTTTAATTTCAACTTTTGCAGTTGTGTTTTTATTTGTTTCTTTAGTTTTACCTCTCATTGTTTCATAAATATGAGACATCCATGGTTGAATTTCATACTATTATTTTTTCTAGTTTTCTACTAATATTTTTCATGATTATACCTTTTCTAATTTTATTTTGTTGCTGTTTAATATTTATGAAACAAGTAGTGTGTAGTTTTTTAACACGAAACATCTGAATTATATATTTTAATTCCTTATTACAAATTTCAAATATATATAATTACTTGGATTTGACTTAAAAATTGGATACCTTGTTGTATAGATATTCCTTGGGCAAACTTTTAGCAAGCTGATATTTATGATGTATTTGAAAGAGTATTTGACAAGGATTTAGAAGATTCTTACTTTTTTATTGTTATGTTTAACCTGAGATTATTGATTTAATGTCTCTAGGACTCATTTTTTTTCTCAGAGTAGGGGAAAATATATAACCCCTCTGCTGTAAAAACTTATTGTTTTTAGATATTTGCTTTTATTTTTAGCAAATTCCCTTTATTTAGTGAATTTCAAAAAAAGTAAGCCAAATTAATCACCAACTAAAGAATAAAATGCAAATATCTCCATGTTCAAAATTCATTTTATAATTTGTTGGCAAAGAAAATTCTTAGAGAAAGTCTTGCCAGAAAAAAAGAAACACCAAATTTCATTTGGGTATTTGGCTAACATTTTATTTTAATACTTTTTGAGGGATGCATCATAATAGTTGAAATTTCCATGACTTCATATGCTACTAGCCATCATTAAAGTTATTAGAAGTTTGAATCTACAGATGTTTCCAGTGGAACCTTTTCTACTAGAATTGTAATCAGACTGAGAGTTTAAAGTGAAAGACAGTAATGTATAGAGTCTTAGAAGACTCTATTCTGAGACTTTTCCTTTCCTCTTCCCCATTTGGAGCTTCCAATGACCTATAAGTAAAGGTTGATGTACAAGATTAAAACAGTATAAGCAGATTTTATTCCAATTTGCCAAAGCATTTGTGCCAAGTAGATGATAGCAGTCTACCCCTAAATTTTCAATGTGATCTTTGAATAAACTATTATATGATGGTAAATTTTACTGCTTATTTACTGCCATACAATAAACACAAATGACTTTTCTACTTTAGCAGGCCTTAACTTCCATGAGTAATCAGAAACATGACAATAAAAACTAGAAATATTCAACATTTTTAATTACACTCCTCATACATTCAAATAACTACTATACTACACAAGTAAACCATTGATAATACCTACTAAGAAGGGCAGGAATATAATTGGAAGTTCTGGTGGCTGAAAATGAAGATCTGTCTTATTTTAAGTTATAAGAGTTTTAAAATCATAATTTGATTTGGCAATTTCTTCTGAGTAAACATATCATCTCTTATCTATATCAAAGTATATTTAAATCATATTAGCATGCTAAGTGTTTGAACCATTTAGAAAACTGGGAAAGGGTTGGAAGTATAAGTAAAAATTAAAGGAAGTGTTGGGAATGATTTGATAAAAGCCCAAAAGAGTGAACGATTCAAGAGGTCTGACAATAAATATAAAATCGGGCAGAACTTTTATCTGATCATCAGTGTGTGTGAAATTCCAGGTATTTTTTTAAAGGAGGCATTCTTAAGTGAGTCTCTATTTTTGAAATTTCGTGTTATTCCTCAATCAGAAGCTACTTATCTGTGAAAGTTCCCTAAAAGAATATTTACTCACTCTTTCTTTTTCTTTCCTAAGGTCTACAGAGTATATTCACGAAACTAAAAATTTTGACAAACACATTAGAGAGTAGTTTATTAGTATTGATTACTATAGGCAGAGAAAAATAGTTTCTTTGCAATATCTTAGAAAACACGAAGAATCTAAAATATTCAACACAACAGTGCAATTAGCAGCCTTACTTGGTCTCCTGTGATTTCTAGCTCCTTTAACAGTTAAATCCTCAAAGGTCACATCTGGTTACAGGAAGAAGAGTCTATATTTCAGAATATCAGATTCTCATCAGGGTTTCATTACATGGGACATAGGCACAGCTCCCCCCAGTGCAAGTAGAGATGTTCGTTCTTTAGAATTTAAAATTGGAAAAGGATATTCTAACTTGGCTGCATCCTAGAATAAAGGAAATATTAAGATAAAACCAACTAATGGCATCCAGAAAAAAGAATGAACAGACATTGGGAGCATTGAAAGAGATGGGGATTTTGAGGGGTGTCTATATGTATAGAGCAGGAACACCACAGATTTTCTATTTAAATTAATGAAATGTTTCCATTTTAATTTACTTTTGTGATTCACCCCACCCCCCCGCCCCCCGCCAACCAGATAGGGCTTGAGCAGGATATAGAGACGACTGAGAGTTTCAAGTCTTACTAACCCAAAGAACGACTTTAATAACTCTGAAGCCTGTGGAGGATGGGAACTCTGGCTTCCATCTGCTCTAATGACAGTTCAGTGGGCTTGTCCATGGAACATTGATCTCAGTATCTCTGGGGAAGGCTGAGAAACACACTTTCCTATTTAGAGTTATGTCCATGGCTGGTCATCTGGCGAGGCAGAACCATCCGGTTGCCTGTCCTCTGGGACTGAGCACAACGCTGATCTATTCTCACCCATAGTTTATGTTGCTTGCCTGTTCAGCTGGTGCCAACCCAAGCAAGACCTAGTGTTTCTCAGTGACCTTGGTAGCCAAACTGAACAATCACACCAGGCAGATAAGTTTGCTCTAAATGTCCACTAATATAACAGTTATTTATCTTTTCACTTTTCTTGAGATATCTAATGACACTTGGAAAAACTTGAGAAGCAAGAGATTTGATAGAGGGTGGAGAAGACAAGTGATTTGCGAGTAGCATAAACACTGATAAAAAAAATTCAGTGCTCAGCTAGGGATTTTTAATTTTTTTGCATCTTCCCTCTTCCCACCAAAAGCTATTTGAATGCCTGCATATTTGAGATAGATTATTTAAAAAGAATGCCATTCTTCTCTCCTTGTTTCATTATTCAGGGAAGTCATTAAGAGAGAAAATAGCATAATATATACTTAGTACTTAATTTCATTGGGACAGTCAGCATGATAATTCTGATGCTAGAGATTTCCTAATAAGAACATGGCAGATTGGTTTTAGACTTGACAATTACAGATGAGGTTAGAAAACAGACTAGCAGTGGTTGACCGCAAGCAGTGATTATGGCTGTTGTGGCATGACCATGAGCTGACCATGAGTCACACAATATACCAGTTCTGGTTAAAGCACATGCTTCTCTTCTTCATGCTCACATTGGAAGATCTCCTTCCCTAACATATGGTGATGTTGATGACCTTCTTTATAAAATTCATGACACTCTTTTGGTTTGTCTCTTCTATGTTATGGCTCCTTTTCATTATTCAGCTGTTCTTCCTTCTCTGCTGTAGCCTCTGGTATACGTGCCTCATTCAGGCACTTACCTCACTCTGATTTTGGCAGTCTCCCTGAGACATTTCAGATTCAAATTATTTTCATAATTAATATGAATCTTGACCAATCTTGCTAGCTCTAAATCTGTACCTCTAGAGGATCTCTATTTTTTTTCTTTTCTTTCCTAGTGACTTGTCCCAGACCTTATTAATTTTTGACTTGGAGTCTTAGACTGATCCACACATAAAGCATTCTTATTCTCTCTATGGCCATCTGTCTTGGAGATAAGGAAAAGAGGGCAGGTAGCAAACTCTGAATGAAAAGTCTTTACAAATAATATTGATTATTTCTTTTTTCCAGGAGATAAAGAGGTGAACTCTGAAGGATTTGATTTATAATACGTTGTTATTTTTTTAACGCATGAATTAGAGTTAATTGATTAATAAGACCTAGCTAAATGATTTGTTGAACTTTGTCTTCCAGAATTGTATAAAGCAAATAACCAACTTTTGCAAGTAGAAATTTAGGGAAAGGGGACAATCAATGATTCTGATATTAGCTGCCTTGGGGTACATGAGTGGATGAGAAGCATGCCTCAAAGAAAAAGTCATCTACATTGCATTTACTGTAAGCATATACATCCTGAGTATTAGGAAGATGACTGAGAATTCTTCCCAAGGACTGCAAGTAAGAGAATAGGGTACTGGTAGTTGATGTGTTTAAAAAATGCATCCAGTCCCTATAAATTCTAATAGATTTCTAGATACAGATGTGTTACCTTGCTGAAATATGGGAGCATTCTCCTCAAAAGCTTTGGCCTTCCTCGGAATATAAATAACAGAAAAAATTTAATCAGTGCTCTCTACAATTGTCCTTTCCCATTTTTCTATCATTTTCTGGGGCACCTTCTCTTAATATGTCAGTTACATATTCTAAGTAGCAGCAATTTTGTCTCTCTGTTGTTTCTTCACTACTCTGTATACGCATTTGTCTTTGCATTCTTGCTCCAATTCTTTTCTCACTTGGAATGCCCTTCTACCCACTTTGAAAGCATAAAGATCTACCTCTACTCAAAAATTTTGAATAAAAAATTTTCACTTCTTTATATTTTCATAATATGTTGTTTTTAATCATTGTTATATCACAAATTATAATACTCCATATGTTAACATTTTTCTGAATCTTCTTACAATAATATTCCCTGTCATGCAGCTGCTCAACAAACGTTTCTAAATAAAGTTGAACTCATTTAAGTTATATTAAGCTAGAGCTCATCATTAGGTCTTGGTGAGTGAGCCATCATCAAAATCATAATCTTTATTTTAACTACTATAGAACCAAAGCCCAAGATTTTAAAATAGAATATCAAGATCCACTTTCTTGGGTGGTTTCTATCATGAATTATTTAATTCATAAATTTTATTAAGTTGGGATCTGTGCTAAGGATGTTAATACTGTGCTGGTTGAATAAGAAATGATCTATACTCTCCAGGAGCTCTGTAAGGAAATAGACACCTAAGTAAGACATTAAAATTAAAGGTGATATGGATAATGTGAACAGGGTCAAAGGATTCAGGACCAACTATGTGTGGGGGATATCAGGAAAGACTTCAGAGAGGTTTTGAAAGATCAGTAGGAGCTCTCCAGTTTGAGAGAGATCATAGAGTGTTAATATAATTTCAAATTTCAATTTAAAATTTGTCTAATTATGGAACTGCTGTGCTGGTGATCATTCTAGGGATTTATTTGAATGAATTTTTAATGTATGTGTGTGTGTGTGTGAGAGTGTATATGTATCTGTGTGCGTGTGCACGCACGTGTGAAGCTCAAAAGGAGGGGGAATCTCGAGTTCTGTGAGGAAGTGCCAAATATAGAGATGAGGGGAAATGGGAATCTGTCTCATCTTAAACTTCTGCACTAATTTAAAGTCTGGAGGGAGAAGAGTTAACCAGAACCTTCATTTCCTTATATGTGGGGAAAAAATAGAACCAGAATCTAGAGGCATGGTGTTCATGAGGGAAGTTTTGAGATTCTAGGAATAAATCTGTTAACTTAAAGAGGAGATTACAAGGTATAAACAGAGTGGAGAAGAGAATCATTTTATCCTAACCCCTGAACCCTTAACTTCATTTCACACTAAAATATATTCCTGGCATCATGGTGACATTTACTGACTGCTAACTGAGGGTGGAAAGTGACTATACCTAGAACATGGATGGGAGGGGGCATAACCCTAACTCTGAGCACCTGTGAGGGTGAGAATGCCAAGGAAGATTTAGGTTAGTCTTGGAGGGAACTGGAAAGTGCCTCTGATAAGCCACTGATATTAAACCATTTCTGTACTTTTAGCATCATTTGTACCCCAAACATGAGGAGATCCAGAGAAATTCTGATTGTCACAAAAGGTGCTTGAGTGGGGGAAGAGAGTGAAAAGAGTATCTTCTAGAAATTTCCATCTGAGGTAATCTTTTACTTCCTCAGAGTGTGAATGATGAAGTCAGGCTTTACATCTAGAAATACTGCAGTCTATATGCATTAGAAATGTCTTGGTAGGAACATAAGATGTTTTTTCTATGAGTTCTCAAGAATAGCAGGAGGTTTTAGGAGACTGATCTTGTGAACTGGGAAGCGAGACAATTACTGGTTGTGTGGCTTTGGGCAAATTGCTTAAATTCTTGGTCTAAGTTTCTTCATTTGTAAAATAGAATACTGAACTTGCAGAGCTATTGTGAAGATCAGGTATATTTAAAGAACCTGACAAAGTAGGCACTGGTTATATGACAGTGTTCTATCAATAGATAATTGTGCTATTACCCTTAATACGTATTATTTAATTTTGCATCTTAGCCATCTCCTTTGTCATTCAATTCAGTGAGTGCTAGAGTTATATTCCATAGGATAGATTTAAGCTATGGAAAATTTTATCTTTTTAATAGATAGGGATTTAAATAAGTTATTTCTTGTTGATAGTATATATCTCATTACAAATAACATTTTCATAGTTTTGTGCTTTACACATAGTACTTTTAGCTTCATATGGCATAACATTTGATAAAGGGCATTTTACTTTATGTGCTAACTGTAAGCATACCTTGCTGAGAAATTCTACGCTTTTTTTTTTCCTGCTCTCCGTTCTTTTTTGCCTAATACGAACTTCTTCAGATAAGGGGTCTGAATACAATTTGACTATTACTGCAGTAGCAGATATTAGAGTATCACAGATTTGTTGCTACTAATGAATTCTGATTTATGTTGAAATCAGAGCACTCTAGGAAAATAATGATGGCTCAATTTATTTCTATAACGATAGAAATCAAGCAATGCTTCCTACTTGCTAGTGTATATGTGTAACCATTGATTCAATATGGAAAAACTTAGACTTGTAAAATTAAGAAGACATGGCTTGTTTTGAATATCCTGATAAACTCAACAAATCTCTTTCTTTCCTTTAAAAACCTCTACATGAATAAGTGAATGAGATCTTACAGTCTTAAGTATGCCCATTCAAAAATCCCTCTAGGTGGTAATACTAAAGATATTAATATTTGGTTTCTATCCAGTGAGAAGATTAAAATTGATAAAATCATTATAAAGGCATATGTTTTACAGAGACCATGAAATTAAAGTTGATGTGGAGTTTGAGTCAAAGGAAAAAAATGCGCTTATGATGCAAGCATAAAAGTTGGTCAAAAATAAGGAAAAAAGTATTGCCCTTAAAACTTTTGTGAAAAATATACACTTCCAAATAATATATGGAGCTGTTGAAGTCACATGCCTTTTGTATGTCTTCTCCAGTGTTCTATTTTACAGAGCTCACAACTTATCTTTACTTAATTTTAAAAAATTATACTTAAAAGATCAAGTATGAGAAAGAACCGAGTCGACAAAATATAGCAATGGTATTGTTTCCCATATCTTGGCAATGAGATAAGTCCTGAAGTTACTGCCTGTGAGAATGTATTGGTTTTTTTTTTTGTTTAAAAAAAAAAACCATACAGATGGTCTTATCATATTCAGGAATGTTGGTGGCATTAAGTTTTAGTTTTAGACACTCATTGCTGAGAATAATTATCCCTTTGGATAAATATTTTCTATCCTTAAACAGTTGATATTTTCTTCATTTCAAATCCAGGTAAACTAACATACCTATTGGATTTGATTCAGATCTATAATTCATTTCTGTCCTTCCCATCCATAAGAGTGATTAGATTAAATTAATATTGTTCCCCATCCCAAACAGCATTAGGGCATTGATTTGTAAATATCATCAGAATGAGATTTTATCATTTGCAAAAAATACCGAAATAGGATTGTCAAAGACCCCTAGTGTCAGATAGGACAAGAGCAAGACAAAATTATCACTGAAAATTTGTTTCTACCTTGTGTTATGTCATATACCAAAATAATTCATAAAAAGTTGTAAATGATGTTTGGTTATTCTGAATTGATGGCATGATGCAGAATTTACTTCCTGATTCCTCAATATAATTTTTAAATGTTTTATTTAAAAAAAATTTCGGCTTACAGAAAAGTTGCAACAACAGTATGTAATTCCTGTACATAATTCATTCAGTTTTTCCTAATGTAACATCTTGCATAGTATGATGATCAAAATTAAGAAATTAACATTGGTGTAATATTACTGACTGAAACTACAGACTTTATTCAGATTTCACCAGTTTTCTTAAAAAATTATGGTTCTTTTTCCTTTCTTCCAGTATCCAATTCAGGATTCCACAACATAGGCAGGTGACCATGAAGGCAACATACCTTTGTGTGACTTTGACACTTTTGAAAAGTACTGGTCAGCTCTTTAGTAGAATAACCCTTGATTTATATTGTTTGATTTATTTCTCATAATTAAGGTTATGCATGTTTCACAAGGATACTACAGAAATGATGCACCCTTCTCATTTATAACATCAGGAGATACGTCATATTGATATATCTTATTAGAGTGCTCTTAAGGTGATGTCTGCTGGATTTTCCACTATAAAGTTATTACTTTCCTCTTTGTAATAAATAAGTATCCCAGGGGAGATTATTTGAGGTTATATAAATATTCTGTTTCTCCTCAAACTTTACCCACAAATTTTAGCATCTATTGGCAGATCGGGTTTGCAACAATTATTATTGTGATTGTCTAATGGTGATTTTTCTATTTCCTGCATTCCTTCTCTGCTTATAACTTGAAATTATTTTTATAAAAAGAACTTCCCCTTCTTCCCTATTTATTTTTAATTCACCTATTTACATCAGTATGAACTCATAAATATTAATTTCCTTCTATGGGCTATAAAGCAATACCATCATTATTCATTTTGTTACTCAGTTTGTCTTCACTTTGGCCATGTGGAACTCTTTCACACTGGTGCTTGTGCCCTTCAACATGCGCCATCTTTTTTGAGCACTTCCTTACTTTGTGACACCACAAAATGCTCCGAACCAGGAGCTTTGGCTTCCCTTGGCCACATTGAAAGAAGAAAAATTGCCTTCGTCCACACACAAAATACACTAAAGATAGCTGATGAGCTAAAAAAAAAAAAAAAAAAAAGCAAAAAAATCTCAAAATGGTTTAAGAAAGTTTACAAATTTGTGTTGGGCCACATTCAAAGCTGCCCTGGGCCATGTCCGGCCTGCCAGTCACAGGCTGGACAAGTTTGCTCTAAACTCATTTTAATTTTCTCTATCGCAGATCTCTCGAAACCACTTTACCAAGAAGCCATTGTTTCTTTTGTTGAAAAATAACATTTAGAAACTAAGTTCTGGGTCTAGGTGTGCTGACTGCTACTGGGTGACATTACTTCTTAACCCTTTCAATAGACAGAGCTAGAAAATATATGTGTGTATAATGACACATGTATATGCATACATATATTTTTATTTCTGTATTTATCTGCATACATATATTTAAAAATGAGTTCATACTGATACTTGCAATTCCAGTTTAATACAGTAAGGTTCAGGATTGCCTTTTCTTCATTATTTGTAACTTCTTTCTCGAACATTGAGAAATCTGGCTCTTCTTTTTGTGTTATATTTACCTATTTGATCAACCTTGGTATATACACATAAATTAGTTCCAGATTGCCTGACCCATTAATGTGTAATAAATAATTTTTCTAACTAGGTTATAGTGTTTGAGTAGAGTACTTTTTATCTTTAGCCTCATAATATTCAGCCAATATACTTTTTTTCCAAAGTAACTTAGGTTATTTTTTCCTTTCAAATTCCTTATGATTATGCTATTCATTTGTAATATAGTTGGTTTATTCATGTAGCTTGTTTTCATTTTTGGGTTCCACCGCATTCTAATTGACTTTTAAAAATTTATACACTAATTCTTTGTGATATGTACAAGGCTATGGGTTTGAAAAATGTATAGAGCCATTTATCTACCATTACAGTCATGATAAGTTTCGTTGTCCTCAAAATGCCCTCATGATCCCTCATTGTAAAATATTCTTTCTACTAACTTGTATTCTTGACACTGATTTTTACTCTTATAATTTTGCCCTTTATGACATCATATAAATGAAATAATGCAATATGTACACTTACAGGTATATCTTCTTAGTAAAATGTATTTAAGCTTCATATATGTGTGAGTCAATAGTTTGTGTCTCTTCATTGTTGAGTAGTATCCTATGTATGAATGTACCATGATTTGATTATCAATTCGTGTGAAGAACATCTGGGTTGTTTCCGGAATTTGGCAATTAGGAATAAATTTTCTGTGAAGATTCACAGATAGGGATTTTGCGAACATTAGTTTTTGTTTGTTGGGGGGAAATATCTAGCAGTGGTATCATTGGATCATATGGTAAGTACATGTTTAACTTCTTAAGAAAGTGCCAAACTGTTTCCCAGAAGGTTGATATCACTTTGCATTTCCACAAGCAATGTATGCTCTGTGCCTTCACTAGTACTTCATAGCATCATCATCCTCATTACAGGCAAGGAACTGGAAATTAGATTTATTAAAAATCTTGCCCAAGATCACAAATACAGTGTCAGGACTGAAACTGAACTCAAGCCCAGTGTGTTCTAAATTCAGTTATTTTTCCACTGCATCTTTTCATAGAACAATTTTTGTTCGCTTTTGTTTATAGACATCAGGTTCTTTAAGTTTATTTTCCAAAGAATATTTGTTTTTGTTATTTCAGCCAATCATTGTGAACGACTCTTGAAAAGTAGGTAGGATTGTTATTAATAATTGTGTTTCCATATGAGAAAGATGAGTTCTGAAGGAGTCGGTCAAGAAATATGCAATGCGTTTTAGTGACTGGGCTAGAACTGACAGTGGCCATTTTCTTCTAGGGCACAAACCACATAGAAGACAAAATATTCCGGCTTTTTATATACAAAATAAAAATGTTAGATGCTTTTCCTTCTTCTTGGAAAAGGTAGCTCTTTTCCTCTGAAAAATAGAAAGTCCATAAAAATGAATATCTCTGAAGTATTAATAGAAGTAGTGGGGGTGCGGAGGCTTGGGAAAATACAATGAGAGTCAACAATAATCTAAGAATCTTATGTGCACATTCTTAGAGCTCCTGCTCTAGGAACTTTAGACAAAACTGGAAGAAGTTCAGATGGTTTGGCCTGCCTCCCCCCACCTCTTTTTTAAAATTCCTTTTTCTGGGATACTCTGGCCAAAGACTAACAAGCAGTGAAATGGCAAAAGGCAGGCAGCAGGCAGAAAAAGTAGAAGCAAATGGCTGGGGTAAAACACAAACTGTATGATTAGGCTCTGAATAATCAGGAATTGGATTGGAGCTTGTTATACATATTTCATGGTCATAATTTGATATTTGCAACAAAAAGAGAAAGAATCATCTTTATAAAAGCCAAAAAACAAAAAAACAAAAGCTAGGTTGACTTGGGGATGTCTATCTCTCTTTCTCACTCAAAATATTAACAATTTACCTTGCTGATCCTCTCCATGTGATCTAGTTAGTTGCACTTAGCACATTGGAGGGAAATAGTGATTCACATTATCATTTTAATGGTGCATGGATTCTTTCATTATGTAGTTGGTTCACATACATCAACATTTTAAATTTTGGACATTCTAAAATACATTTGGCAAACTGTTAAGGAGAAAACCGTCTGTGAGCCTGTAGGAACTAAAACCTGGTACATGTCTGAACAAATGCAGAAGCCCCATTTTTGCTGTTCAGTTTTATAAGTTATGTAGCTTTGTGTGACCTTTTTAAAAATATTCAAGTGGTTTTGAAATATCATTAAAAAATGATCAGTGGTAATTGTCTTAATAATAGTGGTCACATGAAAAAAAATATTGTTAAGTGGAACCCTTTCCTAACCCCGATGCGATTTTTAAAGGCCCTTTGAAAAAAAGCAAGGCACTTGAAAGTTACTTATTAAAGACCAAATGAAAACACAACTTGCAAAGAGGCTTTTAATTTCATAATGATTCAGGTTTTTGAGCATAAAACACGACCTAAGACCAGCTCTTAATTATTTATAGATTGATTCTGCAGTTTCTGTGTAATTCAGTCTCCTTACTTTGGCTAGGAGGGCAGGAATAGGTGGAGAAGCTGAAATAAATCAGCTTTCTTATATTTTATCATCAGCAGTAAAAAGTCTGGTGTGATATAAAGTTTTGGAATTATCTATACCGTTTGACCTTTTACTATGGATAATTAAAAACATACCATGATTGAAAAGGTAGGTAAAAACCCTAATGTATTAAATAACAACTGTGCCAGATATTATGTGAGGCTCTTTATATATATTACATCCTTAGTCTCCAAAGCAATCCTGTGTATTGTTTATGATTATCTTCTTTTGCATAGGTGGAAACTAATGGTCAGATAGTTGAAATCACTTACCAAGTCAGATGGGTAGCAAGTAGGAAGGCTAAGATTCAAATGGGTCTGGCTCTCCTTACAATCCATGCTCTTTCCATGGAATTGGTTACTTGTACCATGACTGTTCTGTGATGTAATCCATACAAATTAAAATGATTAAATGATTTTGCAGAGAACAGGTAAGAGTTGGGTCTAGGCTAATTTGGATTCTACACAGTGAGAAACAATGGCTACCTTCTTTAAGGATCCTTATATTAAGATGTATCAGAAAATGCATTCCATACCAAAAACCTCGCTGTTTTACAACTTATATGGAAAAACTACAGAGATTCTATGGGACTGCAAGTCAGTACACATTTTCTGTACAACAATCTGGAAAAAAATGTTTATACCCCTTAGACCCAGTAAATGTAGGTGGTAATTTTTAAGGATCGTCAAAAATTAAAGTACAAGGATATTCATTTCAGTACTATTTATAATAGTGTAAAATTGTAAACCATGCAAATGCTCCATAGTTAAAAAAGTAAAGAAATTATAAAATCACACATATTTTGATGTATTATGCAGTCATTAAAAATAAGTTTCAAAGAGTATTTAGTAACAAGGACAAAATTCTAACAATGTGATGTTCAGATGCCCTATAAATATGTATTGAATAAATAAATAAAATACTAAATTCAAAATAATGTATAAGGAATTAACATTTTCCAAACAAGAGATCATGAAGAAATATTATGTTTTACTTTTCCTAAAGGTAAACTTTTTTTGAAGTAGAGCATATACAGTGAATCTATAAATTACTTTAGGCAGTATGGCCATTTTCACAATATTGATTCTTCCTATCCATGAGCATGGAATGTTTTGCCATTTGTTTGTGTCCTCTCTTATTTCCTTGAGCAGTGGTTTGTAGTTCTCCTTGAAGAGGGTTTCTAATTCTGTGAAGAAAATCAATGGTAGCTTGATGGGGATAGCACTGAATCTATAAATTACTTTAGGCAGTATGGCCATTTTCACAATATTGATTCTTCCTATCCATGAGCATGGAATGTTGTGCCATTTGTTTGTGTCCTCTCTTATTTCCTTGAGCAGTGGTTTGTAGTTCTCCTTGAAGAGGTCCTTCACATCCCTTGTAAGTTGTATTCCTAGGTATTTTATACTCTTTACAGCAATTGTGAATGGGAGTTCACTCATGATTTGGTTACGTTTGTCTATTATTGGTGTATAGGAATGCTTGTGATTTTTGCACATTGATTTTGTATCCTGAGACTTTGCTGAAGTTGCTTATCCACTTAAAGGAGATTTTTGGCTGAGAAAATGGGGTTTTCTAAATATACAATCATGTCATCTGCAAACAGAGATAATTTGACGTCCTGTCTTCCTATTTGAATACTCTTTATTTCTTTCTCTTGCCTGACTGCCCTGGCCAGAACTTCCAATACTATGTTGAATAGGAGTGGTGAGAGAGGGCATCCCTGTCTTGTGCCAGTTTTCAAAGGGAATGCTTCCAGCTGTTGCCCATTCAGTATGATATTGGCTGTGGGTTTGTCATAAATAGCTCATTATTTTGAGGTATGTTGCATCAATACCTAGTTTATTGAGATGTTTTAGCATGAAGCAGTGTTAAATTTTGTCAAAGGCCTTTTCTGCATCTGTTTAGATAATCGTGTGGTTTTTGTCATTGGTTCTGTTTATATGATGGATTACATGTATTGATTTGCATATGTTGAACCAGCCTTGCATCCCAGGGATGAAGCCGACTGAATCATGGTAGATAAGCCTCATATATATGTGTGTATATATATACACTTGTATATATAAAAACTTTAAGTTCTAGGGTACATGTGCACAACGTGCAGGTTTGTTACATATGTATACATGTGCCATGTTGGTGTGCTGCACCCATTAACTTGAAGCTTTTTATATGCTGCTGGATTTGGTTTGCCAGTATTTTACTGAGAATTTTTACATTGATGTTAATCAAGGATATTGGCCTGAAATTTTCTTTTTTTGTTGTGTCTCTGCCAGGTTTTGGTATCAGGATGATGCTGGCCTCATAAAATGACTCAGGGAGGACTCCCTCTTTTTCTATTGTTTGGAATAGTTTCAGAAGGAATGGTATATGCTCCTCTTTGTACCTCTGGTAGAATTCGGCTGTGAATCCTTCTTGTACTGGGCTTTTTTTGGTTGGTAGGCTATTAATTACTGCCTCAATTTCAGAACTTGTTTTTGTACTATTCTATTCAGGGATTCCACTTCTTCCTGGTTTAGACTTGGGAGAATGTATATGTCCAGGAATTTATCCATTTCTTCTAGATTTTCTAGTTGATTTGCATAGAGGTGTTTATAGTATTCTCTGATGGTACTTTGTATTTCTGTGGGATCAGTAGTGATATCCCCTTTATCATTTTTTATTGCATTTATTTGATTCTTCTCTCTTTTCTTTATTAGTCTGGCTAGTGGTCTATCTATTTTGTTGATCTTTTCAAAAAACCAGCTCCTGGATTCATTGATTTTTTTTTTTGAAGGGTTTTTTTATGTCTCTATCTCCTTCAGTTCTGCTCTGATCTTAGTTATTTCTTGTCTCTATCTCCTTCAGTTCTGCTCTGATCTTAGTTATTTCTTGTCTTCTGCTAGCTTTTGAATTTGTTTGCTCTTGCTTCTCTAGTTCTTTAATTGTGATGTTAGGGTATCAATTATAGGATCTTTCCTGCACACAGTTTCTCTTGTGGGCATTTAGTCCTATAAATTCTCCTCTAAACACTGCTTTAGCTTGGTCCCAGAGTTGTGGTATGTTGTGTCTTTGTTCTCATTGGTTTCAAAGAACTTATGTATTTCTGCCTTAATTTTATTATTTACTCAGTAGTCATTCAGGAGCAGGTTGTTCAGTTTCCATGTAGTTGTGTGGTTTTGCGTGAGTTTCTTAATCCTGAGTTCTAATTTAATGGCACTGTGGTCTGAGAGACTGCTTGTTATGATTTCCATCCTTTTGCATTTGCTTAGTAGTGTTTTACTTCCAATTGTGTGGTCAATTTTAGAATAAGTGCGATGTGGTGCTGAGAAGAATGTATATTCTTTTGATTTGGGGTGGAGAGTTGTGTAGATGTCTATTAGGGCTTCTTGGTCCACAGCTGAATTCATGTCCTGAATATCCTTTTAATTTTCTGTCTTGTTGATCTGCCTAATATTCAAAGTGGGGTGTTAAAGTCTCCCACTATTATTGTGTGGGAGTCTAAGTGTCTTTGTAGGTCTCTAAGAACTCGCTTTATGAATCTGGGTGCTCCTGTATTGGGTGCATGTATATTTAGGAGAGTTAGTGCTTCTTGTTGCATTGATCCCTTTACCATTATGTAATGCCCTTCTTTGTCTCTTTTGATCTTTGTTGGTTTAAAGTCTGTTTCATCAGAGAGTAGGATCGCAACCCCTGCTTTTTATTTTTGGCTTTCCGTTTGCTTGGTAAATATTCCTCCATCCCTTTATTTTGAGCTTATGTGTGTCTTTGCATGTGAGATGGGTCTCCTGAATGCAGCACATTGATGCGTCTTGACTCTTTATCCAATTTGCCAGTCTGTGTCTTTTAATTGAGGCATTTAGCCCATTTACATTTAAGTTTAATATTCTCATGTGTGAATTTGATCCTGTTATTATGATGCTAGCTGGTTATTTTACCCATTAGTTGATGCAGTTTCTTCATAGCGTCAATGGTCTTTACAATTTGTTATGTTTTTGCAGTGGCTGGTACCGGTTGTTCCTTTCCATGTTTAGTGCTTCCTTCAGGAGCTCTTGTAAGGCAGGTCTGGTGGTGACAAAGTCTCTCAGCATTTGCTTGTCTGTAAAGGATTTTATTTCTCCTTCACTTATGAAGCTTAGTTTGGCTGGATATAAAATTTTGGTTTGAAAATTCTTTAAGAATGTTGAATATTGGCCCCCACTGTCTTCTGGCTTGTAGGCTTTCTGCAGAGAGATCTGCTGTCTGATGGGCTTCCCTTTGTGGGTAACCCAACCTTTCTCTCTGGCTGCCCGTAACATTTTTTCCTTTATTTCAACATTGGTGAATCTGATGATTATGTATCTTGGGGTTGCTCTTCTTGAGGAGTATCTTTATGGTGTTCTCTGTATTTCCTGAATTTGAATGTTGGCCTGCCTTGCTAGGTTGGAGATGTTCTCCTGGATAATATCCTGAAGAGTGTTTTCCAACTTGGTTCCACTCTCCCCATCACTTTCAGGTACACCAGTCAAACACAGGTTTGGTCTTTTTACATAATCCTATTTCTTGGAGGCTTTGTTTGTTCCTTTTCATTCTTTTTTACTCTAATTCAGTCTTCATGTTTTATTTCATTAAGTTGATCTCCAAATCTGATATCCTTTCTTTCCTATCTATCAATAGCTGGATAGATTCAGCTGTTGATATCTGTGTATGTCTCACAAAGTTCTCCTGTTGTGTTTTTCAGCTCCATCAGGTCATTTATGTTCTTCTCTAAACTGGTTATTCTAGTTAGCAATTCCTCTAACCTTTTTTCAAGGTTCTTAGCTTCCTTGCATTGGGTTAGAACATGCTCTTTTAGCTTGGAAGAGTTTGTTATTACCCACCTTCTGAAGCCTACTTCTGTCAATTCGTCAATCTCATTGTCCGTCCAGTTTTGTTCCCTTGCTGGCAAGGAGTTGTGATCCTTTGGAGGAGAAAAGGCATTCTGGTTTTTGGAATTTTCAGCCTTTTTGCACTGGTTTCTCCCCATCTTCGTGGATTTATCTACCTTTGACGTTGGTGACCTTCGGATGTGGTTTCTGTGTCTGGACGTTTTTTGTTGATGTTGTTGCCATTCCTTTCTGTTTGTTCATTTTCCTTCTAACAGTCAGGCCCCCCTGCTGCAGTTCTGCTGGAGTTTGCTAGAGGTCCACTCCAGACCCTGTTTGCCTGGATATCACCAGCGGAGGCTGCAGAATAGCAAAGATTGCTGCCTGTTCCTTCCTCTGGAAGCTTTGTCCCAGAGGGGCACCCGCCAGGTGCCAGCTGGAGCTCTCCTGTATGAGATGTCTGTCAGCCCCTGTGGGGAGGTGTCTCCCACTCAAGAGACATGGGGGTCAGGGACCTACTTGAGGAAGCAGTCTGACCATTAGCAGAGTTCAAGCGCTGTGCTGAGAGATCTACTGCTCTCTTCAGAGCTGGTAGGCAGGGATGTTTAAGTCTGCTGAAGCTGCATCCGCAGCCACCCCTTCCCCCAGGTGTTCTGTCCCAGGGAGATGGAGGTTTTATCTATAAGCCCCTGACTGGGGCTGCTGACTTTTTTCAGAGATGCCCTGCGCAGATAAGAGGAATCTAGAGAGGCAGTCTGGCTACAGTAGCTTTGCTGAGCTGTGGAGGGCTCAGCCCATTTGGAACTTCCTGGTGGCTTTGTTTACACTGTGAGGGGAAAACTGCCTACTCAAGCCTCAGTAATGGTGGAGGCCCCATCCCCACTAGGCTTGAGCTTCCCAGGTCGACTTCAGACTGCTGTGCTGGCAGCGAGAATTTCAAGCCAGTGGATCTTAGCTTGCTGGGCTCCGTGTGGGTGGGATCTGCTGAGCTAGATCACTTGGCTCCCTGGCTTCAGCTCCCTTTCCGGTGGAGTGAACAGGTCTGTCTTGCTGGTGTTCCAGGCACCCCTGGAGTATGGAGAAAAACAAAAAAAAAAAACAAAAAAAACAAAAAAAAAACTCCTGCAACTAGCTCAGTGTCTGCCCAAATTGCCGCCCAGTTTTGTGCTTGAAACCCAGGAGCCTGGTAGCATAGGCACCAGAGGGGATCTCCTGGTCTGTGAGTTGTGAAGACTGCGAGAAAAGCATAGAATCTGGGCTGGAGTGCACCGTTCCTCACAGCACAATCCCTCACGGCTTTCCTTGGCTAGGGGAGGGAGTTCCCTGACCCTTTGTGTTTCCTGGGTGAGGTGATGCCCCACCCTGCTTTGGCTCACCCTCTGTGGGCTGCACCTACTGTCTAACCAGTCCCAGTGAGAAGAGCCAGGTACCTCAGTTGGAAATGCAGTAATCACCTGCCTTCTAGGTTGATTTTGCTGGGCGTTGCAGACCACAGCTGTTCCTATTTGGCCATCTTGCCAGCCTCCAAAAACGCTATTTTAACTTTTTGAGGAAATTTCATTCTGTTTTCCTTAATAGCTGTATCAGTTTACATTCTTATTGACAGTGTACAAGGTTTCCCTTTACTCCACATCTTTGCTACTGTTTATATTTTGTATTTTTGATAACAGCTATTCTAACAAGTGTGAGGTGACATCTCATTGTGGTTTTGATTTGCATTTCCCCAATGATTAGCGATGTTAAGTATTTTTTTATATGCCTATTGGCCATTTGTATGACTTCTTTTGAAAAATGTCTATTCAGGTCCTTTGCCCATTTTTAGATCAGGTTACCTGTTTGTTTGCTATTGAGTTGTTTGAGTTCTTTATATATTTTATATATTAACCTCTTATCATATGGAAGGTTTGCAATTATTTTTTCCCATGCCATAGGTTGTCTTTTTACTCTGTTATTTCCTCTGCTTTGCAGAAACCTTTAGATTGGTTTCATCCCATTTGTCTGTTTGTGCTTTTGTTGTGTATGCTTTTGGGATCCAAAAAGTAATTTTCCAGATCAATGTCAAGAAGTCTTTATCCTTTGTTTTCTTTTAGTAGTTTTATCATTTCAAACCTTGTGTTTAAATCTTCGTTTTGAGTTGATTTTTGTATGTAGTTTGAGTTAAGGGTGCAATTTTTTTCTGCTACATGTAGATACCCAGTTTTCTTAGCACTATTTATTGAAGAAACTGTCCTTTTTTCATTGTATGATTTTGATACCTCTGTTGAAATCAATTGATATAAATGCATGGGATTTGTTTCTGAGCTCTCTATTATTTTCAATTATCTGTTTTTATGGCATTACCATGCAGTGTTGATTACTATAGCTTTGTAATATGGTATGAGATCAGAAAATGTGGTTCCTTTAACTTTGTACTTTTTTCCTCAAGATTGCATTGACTATTCGGTGTATTTTGTGGTTCCATATGTATTTTAGTATTTTTTTTCTATTTCTGTAAAAATGCCATTGGAGTTTTGGTAGGAATTACATTAAGTCTGCAGATTGCTTTGAATAGTATGGGCATTTTTAACAATATAAAGTTGTTTGATTCTTCCAATCCAGAAATATAGTATACCTTTCTATTTATTTGTGTTTTATTAAATTTCTTTTGTCTGTGTTTTATAATTTATCTGTCCAGTATGTAGGTTTTTCACTTCCTAGGTTAAATTTATTCCTACATATTTTACTCTTTTTGATGCTATTGTAAGTGAGATTTTTGTCTTGATTCTTTTTTGGATAATTTGTTTTTAGTTTATGGAAACACTACTAATTTTTGTGTGTTGATTCTGTATCCTTCAGTTTTACTTACAGTATTAGTAGTAATGGTTTTTTCGTGGTCTTTAAAGTTTTCTGTATGAAAAAATATATATCCTTTTTTAAAAAAAATCATCAGTAAACACAGGTAATTTAACTTCTTTTATGACTTGGATGCCTTTAATTTCTTTTTTCTTGCCTAATTGTTTTGGCTAGGACTTCCACTACTATGTTGTATAGAAATGGCAAGAGTAGTCATTCTTGTTTTGTTCCTGATCTTAGAGTAAAAGCTTCAGCTTTTCACTGTTAAGTATGATGTTAGCTGTGGGCTCATAATACACAGTCTTCATTCACTGTGTTAAGGTACAGTCCTTCTATACTTAATTGGTGGAGGCCTTTTTTTTTTCTTTAATCATGAAATGATGTTAAATTTTGTCAAATGGTTTTTCTTCATTCATGGAGAGGATAATATGTTTTTTGTCCTTCCTTCTGGTAATTTGGTATACTGTATTTATTGATTTGCATATGTTTGAACCTTCTTGCATCCCAGGGGTGAATCCCAGTTGATTATGGTGTATGATCCTTGTAATGGGCTCTTGAATTCAGTTTTCTGAGTTTTTCTGTTGAGGATTTTTGCATCTATGTTAATCAGAAACATTGGCCTGTCATTTCTTTTTCTTATAGTGTCTTTGTCTAGTTTTGATATTGGGGTAATGCTGGCCTCATAAGTTTGGAAGTATTCTCTCTTTAATTTTTTGGAGGAGTTTGAGGATTGGTGTTATTGTTTAAATGTTTGGTAAATTTCAATTATGAAGACAACAGGTTCTGAGATTTTCTTTGACAGGAGAAGTTTTATTACTGATTAGGCTCCTTGCTTGTTATTGGTTTGTTCACATATTCTATTTCTTCAGAATTCAGTCTGAGTAGGTTTTATCTGTTTAGGAATTTGTTCTTCTAGGTTATCCAAATTGTTGGCATATAATTGTTCATAGCAGTTTCTTATGATCCTTTGTAATTCTGTGGTATTAGTTACAGTGTCTCCTCTTTTATTTTTGATTCTATTTATTTTAGTCTTCTCTCTTTTTTAATTAATCTAGCTAAAGGTTTGCCAATTTCGATTATCTTTTTTAAAAAAGCAACTCTTGATTAACTCTATTGTTTTATTGCTATTTCACACATGTGTTCTCTGATCTTTGTTATTTTTTTATCCTTGCTTTTATTAACTTTGTTCTTATTTTATCCTTCTTTTTCTAGTTCCTTGAGGTGTAATGTTAGGTTACTTATTTGAGATATTTCTGCTTTTTTAATGTAAGCATTTATTGCTATAAACTTTCCTCTTAGAACTGCTTTTACCGCATCCGTTAAGTTTTGATATGTGGTGTTTCCATTTGCATATGTTTACAAGAGTTTTTTTGTTTCCCTTTTCATGTCTTAGACCCACTGGTTCTTCAGGAGCATGTTGTTTAATTTCCACATATTTGTAAATTTTCCAATTTTACTTCTATCAATTTCTAGTTTCATTTCTTGGTTGTCAGAAAAGGTGCTTGGTATGATTTCCATCTTCTTAAATTTCTTATGACTAGTTTTGTGGCCTAAAATATGTCTATCCTGGAGAATGTTTCATGTGCACTTGAGAAAAACACATATTCTGTTGCATTTGGATGAAATGTTCTGTATATTTATTTTATGTTGATTCGGTATAAAGTGCAGTTCAAGTCCAGTGGTTCCTTATTGACTTTCTGTCTAGATGATCATTTATTGCTAAAAGTAGGATATTAAAGTCCTCTATTATTGTATTGCTGTCTATTTCTCCCTTCAGATTTGTTAATATTTAAGTAGTCTGATGTTGGATGCATGTATATATGTGTACACACACATGCACACAGACACACAATTGTTACATTCTCTTGATGAATTGGCATTTTTATCATTATATAATAGTTACCTTTTTGTCCCTTGTGATAGTTTTTTACTTTAAGTCTATTTTGTCTGATATATCCGTACTCTCTTTTGTTAATTATTAATTATTAATAATTAATTTTTATTAATATGGAATTTTTTCTCATCCCTTCACTTTCAATGTATATGTGTTTTTAAAGATAAAGTGAATATCTTGTTGGCAGCATATAGTTGAATTCTGTTTCATAAAATCCATTAAGCCATTTACATTTAAAGTTATTGATAGGTAAAAATTTACTATTGCCATTTTGTTATTTTCTGACTGTTTTGTAATTTTTAGTAGTCTTTATTTTTAACTTTTTGTTAGTAATTTTCATTGAGATATAAATATGAATTTATATGAAATTTGAATCTTTATATTGTTAAAAAGGTGAATTAGACTGGTAGATTGTTTTAAATGGGCTTTACTTTTTCAGACTATTTTTAGGTTCACAGCAAAATTAAGCAGAAGATACAGAAAACTTCTCTACACACTTAGCCTTACCACATCGATGGCCTCCGTCCTTATCAAAATCTCCTGCCAGAATGGTACATTTGTTATACTTGATGAACCTCTATTGACAAAACATTATCACCCAGAGTTCATAATTTATATTCGTGTTCACTCTTCGCATTATATATTCTTTGAGTTTGAGTAAATATATGATGGCAAGTATCTGTCATTATAATATTATACAGTGTGGTTTCACTGCCTTAGAAATCCTCTGTGCTCTGTCTATCCCTCCTTCCTCAAACCCTTAGCAACCACTGATATTTTACATTTCCCTACTTTTGCCTTTTTCACTATGTCATATAATTGAAATCATACAATATGTGGCCTTTTTATGTTTGCTTCTTTCACTTAATAATATGTATTAAGATTCCTCTTTATCTTTTCATGGTATAATAGCTCATTTCTTTTTAATAGTAAATAATATTTTATTGTGCTGTTTACTACAGTTTATTTATTCATTTATCTCCTGAAGGACATCTTAGTTGTTTGCAAATTTTGGCAATTATGACTAAAGCTGCTATAAATGTGTGTGTTTAAGTTTTTGTGTAGACGTGAGTTTTCAGTTCCTTTGGATAAATACCAAAGATCATAACGCTGGATTGTATAGTAAGATTATGTTTAGTTTTGTAAGAAAGCACCAAACTGTCTTCCAAATTGATTATACAATTTTGAAATCTTACTAGCAATGAATAAAAGTTTTTGCTTTTCTACATCTCCATCAGCATTTGGTGCTGTCAGTATTTTCACCATGCTAATAGGTACATAGGGGGCTCTTATTTTCATTTTAATTTGAATTTCCCTGATTAAATATGATATGGAGCATTTCAGCTTGCCATCTCTATATCTTCTTTAGTGAGATGTCTGTTAAAGTCTTTGGCCCACTTTTAAATTGAGCTAATTGTGATTTTATTAAATTTTAAAAATTATTTGTATATATTTATAACAGTCCTTTAATATGACATTAATATCCTTTAATACTTTAATATGATATTTAATCCTTTAATATGATATTAATCCTTTAATATGATATTTTCTTATAATAAGAAAATACTTGCCTTTTGCAAATATTTTCTTCCAATCTGTGGCTTGTCTTTTCATTCTCTTGACAGTGTCTTTCACAAAATAGGACTTTTTAATTATAATGAAGTTCAGCTTATCAATTTATTTTCCCAGATTGTGCCTTTGGTATTGCAAGTAAAAAGTTATGACCAAATCCATGGTCATCTAGATTTTCTTCTATGTTATTTTCTAAGATCTTTTATAGTTTTTCATTTTATGTTTAGTTCTGTGAGCCATTTTTGCTTAATTTTTATACGGGTGTAAGGTTTGTGTCTAAATTTATTTATGTATTTTGCATGTCGATGTGTAATTGTTTTAGCACCATTTGTTGAAAATATTATATTTTCTTCATTGCATTGCCTTTGCTCCTTTGTCGAAAATCAATTGACTATATTTATGTGAACCTATTTCTGGGCTCTCTTTTGTTTTAGTCTATCTCTTTTTTTTACTAAAACCACACTGTCTTGATAGTATATTAAGTCAGGTGGTGTCAGTTTTCCAACTTTGTTCTTCCCTTTCAATATTTTTTAATTACCGTGGGTCTTTTGCCTTTCCATATAAACTTTAGAGTAAGTTAGTCAATAGTCACAAAATAACTTGCCAGTACTTTGACTGGGATTGCATTGCATCTGTTGATCAAGTTAGGTAGAACTGACATTTTGACAGTGTTGAGTCTTCCTATCTATGAACATGGAATATCTCTCCATTTATTTTGTTCTTTTTAATTTCTTTTTATCAGAGTTTAGTCATTTCTCTCACATAAATCTTGTCCATATTTTGTTGGATCGATACCTAGATATTTCATTTCTGGGGGTGCTAATGTAAATGGTACTATATTTTAATATCAAATTTCACTTGTTAATTTCTAGTACAAAGAAAGGCAATTGACTTTTGTATATTAACCTTATATCCTGCAACCCTCTTATTAATGTTTATTATTTCCAGGACATATTTTTTCAATATTTTTCAGATTTTCTACACAGATCATATCATCTTCAAGCAAAGACTGTTTTCTTTCTTTCTTTCAATTTGCTTACCTGTCACTTCCTTTTCTTATTGCTGTAGCTAGGACTTCCCAGTACAATGTTGAAAAGTGGTAAGAAGGTACATCTTTGCCTTTATCCTGATAATAGAGGAAAGCTTCATATTTCTTACAATTAATTATAATGTTAGCTGTAGGGGCATTTGTTTTTGTATAGATATTCTTTGCCTAGTTGAGTAAATTTCCCTTTATTTCTAATTTACTGAGAGGTTTTTTTCATTTAAATAATGAATAGGTTTCCATTTCGTCAAATGCTTTCTCTGCATCTATTGTTATGATCATGTTTTTTTCTTATTTAGTCAGTTGATATGATAGATACGTTGCTGTGTTTTGAATGTATCCTCAAAGTGCATGCATTAAAACCTTAATCCCTAAATTCATATGTTGATTGGAGGTGGGGCCTTTGGGAGGCAGTTAGGATTAGATAAGTTAATCAGGGTGGAGTTCTCATGATAGGATTGGTGGTTTTATAAAAAGAGGAAGAGAGACCTAAGCCAACATGCATAATCTTGCCCTCTTGCCATGTGATGGCCTTCACTATGTAATGACACAGCAAGAAGGCCTTCACTAAATGCCAGCACCATGCTCTTAAGACTTCCCAGCCTCCAGAACTATTAGCTAAGTTAATTTCTTTTACTTAATAGTTATCCAGCCTGTGGTATTCTGTTATATCAATGCAGAAAAACTAAGACATATATCAATTGATTTCCAAATGTCAAACCAGTCTTGCATACATGGGATAAATGACACTTAGTCATATACTGTGTAATTATTTTTATACATTTTTCCAATTCAATTTGCTTTTTTTGGCAGATTTTTGCTTCTGTGTTCATGAGAGATTTTGATCTGTAGTTTCCTTTTCTTGTAGTTTTTTGATCTAGTTTCAATATTTGGGGAATTCTAACCTTATAAAATGAGTTAGGAAGTACTTCCTGTGCTTCTGTATTTTGAAAGAGATTGTAGAGAATTGGTTTAAGTTCTTCCTTAAGTGTTTATAGAATTCGGCAGTGAACTTTTATGGATCTAGTGCTTCACTTTTTTTTTTTTTTTTTTTTTTGAGACAGGGTTTCACTCTGTCACCTAGGCTGGAGTCCAGTGGCATGATCTGGGCTCACTCCAACCTCTGCCTCCTGGGCTCAGGTAGTCCTCCCACCTCAGCCTCTCACAGTAACCAGGACTACAGGTGTGCATCACAAATGCCTGGCTGATTTTCGTGTTTTTTTGGAGAGATGGGGTTTCACCATGTTGCCACACCTGGTCTTGAATTCCTGAGCTCAAATCGTCTGCCCTCTTTGGCCTCCTGAAGTTCACTGGTGGATTTTTAAAGTTAAATTAACTATACATTCCTGCAGGGGAGATGTCTTTGTGATGTATTATACTTTTTAATGTATTGCTGGATTTTATTTGATAGTATTTTGTTTAAAATTGCTGTATCAATATTCATGATAGTTAGGCTATAACTATCCTTTCTACACTTGATTCTAGATAAAAGGCCAAGAAGTGACTACTTTTCCTTTTTTATAATAGCTTCATCATGTTTTGGTTTCAGAATTAAGCTATGCTCAAACATTGTTCTCTTTTTCCTTTGTACTGGAAAGCTTGGTGTAAGACTGACATTATTTCTTTCTTAGAAGTTTAAAAGACTTAAGTGATGAAGCAATCCATGATGATTTATGTGTGGGAAGGGTTTTAAAAACATATTCAAATTCCTTAATAGATTTAGGAATAGAGAAATTTGCTGTTTCTTCTTGTGTTCATTTTTAAGATTTTTTTGTGTGTGCCATTTTGCCTTTCACCTAAAATTTCAAATTTATTAGAAAATTGTGATCATAATCCTCTATGTTTTTAATATATATAAAATCAATGTAATGATATATTTTATTTGTTCCCAATATTAAAAAAAAAACCTTAGGTTTGCCATAATATATTTTTAAGCCAAACTTTGGCTTTTGTATTTATTCTTATTCCTATGTTACATGTTACTACAAACATGTTGGCTTAAAACAGCACACATTTATTTTCTTACAGTTCTGTAAGCCAAAAATCCAAAACCAGTTTTACTGGGCTGAAAATTATGGTATCCGCAGGATCATATTCCCTCCAGTGATTATATGGAGTAATAAATTTTCTTGCCTGTTTCAACGTCCAGAATTATGTTCCTTGCTTTTCTTGGCTTGTGGTCCCTTCCTCTATCTTCTCAGTCAAAAGCATGGTACCTTGACTCCTTTGTCATGTCACCTTCTGTCTCTGTAGTCCGTATTTTTTTGCTTCAGTCTTATGAGGCACTTGTGACTATATTTAGGGTCCACCCAGATAATCCAGTATAATCTGCCATTCCCCAAATACTTAATTTAGTCATATATGTAAAGTTCCTTTTGCCATGTAAGATATGATTCAAACTACAAGAATTATAGTATCTTGGGAGCCATTATCCAGCCTACCACAACCTTGTTGATTTTTTTCACTGTGTTATTTGTTGTACATGTTATTAATTTCTGCAGTTATTTTTTTAAATTTTTATATTCTTTGATTTTGCTCTTTGTGTTACTTCTTTTTATAGACAAATAATTGATTTTTGGGGTTTTTTGTTTTCTAATATTTTTTGTTTTCTTTTATTAAGTGGCATATTCATTATATCTAAAACATATTTTACATTATATGAAGTAAAATAAATAAAATATATTTAATTTTGGTAGTTTTAAAAATCATTATTTAGAAGAGTTTGCATCGTTTCCAAACACCTGGGAATATTCCTAGTTATCTTTTTGCTATTGATTTGCACTTAATTATCCTTAAGTGAAAATATTACTTTAATCCTTGATTAGCTAGCTTTTTAAAAGCATTTTAATGAGCCATTATATTAATATTATCAAATATTTCATTGGCACTTGGAAATAACTTATTTTTTTGGTACATCTATGGTATATGTTCATATTGCCAGAAAATCATCATATGATTTAGTTCTATCAGTTACTGAGAACAAGTGTAGTAAAGTCTCCTACAATGACTGTAGATTTTTGCGCTTCTTATTTGTGTCCTGTCTATTTTTGCCTTATATATTTTGAAGCTATGTTATTGGCTGGATACAAATTTAGTATTGTTATAAGTTCTTGATGAAGTAACATTTTTCATTGTAAAATGTCCTTTATAAATGCTCATGTTTTAAACTCTATTTTCATATTATTATAGATCTACCAGCTTTATTTTAATAAGTATTCACAGGGATATCTTTTTAGATCTTCTTATATCATTGCTATGTCTTCGTTACCTTCAACTTTTCATATTTAAAGAAATTTATGGTTTGCCTCTTGTAAACATCATATAATTAGTTTTTTTAATCCACTGTGAAAACCTTTCACAAGAAAAAGGGGACACTTTTCCCCCTTCCTTGGAATAATTTATGTACTGTGGTCATTCTTTCTAAATGGTTAGATTCTTAGGTAAACATCTAGACTTTGATTTGTTTGGTAAAAAGCTGTGTAATTACTTATTTAATTTATCTAAAGGTCATTATGACTTCTAAGGTTTTCTCTCTTTTCATAGATAAGTTTTAGTAGTGATGATTTTACAGACATAGGTTTGTAGGACATGGACCTTCAGGGCTTATGGTTATTTAGAATTATGTTGTTTAATTTCTAAACATTTAGATATTGAGTTCTAACTTAATTCCACAATGGTTGAAGATAATATATTTTATTATTTCAATTTTTTGGAGTGCGTTGAAACTTGCTTTATGTCCCAGGATATAATTTCTGTATTAGAAGATCTCTCATACATTTGAAAAAATGAATATTCTGTAGTAATTGCATACAGTTTTCTATGTGTATTCAAATAATTTCAGCAACCATGTTGCTCGAATATTCCACATCTGTTCTTCCTTCTGGGATCATTTGCCTCCAGTTTGATGAAATTCCTTTTGTTTTTCTTGTAGAGTGGGTGCACTGACCATAAATTATGCTGAGGATATCTTTATTTCATTTTCACTTTTGAAAGATACATTTGCCAGGTATAGAAATATATGTTGGCATTTCATTTTCCAAAACTATAACAATGTAATTTCATTGTCGTCTGACTTTTATGACTAATGATGAGAAGTAAACTCTTATTTTTATTGTTATCTCCTAAACAACAACAGTTGCCCCTTACTCTCACTCTGGCTGCTTTTAGAGTTAATTTTGGCTTTGAGCAGCTTGACTATGATATGTGTTGGTGTCATTTTTCTTCTGTTTATTCTATTTGTGGTTCACTGAGGTTCTTGAATATATAAGTTGATGTCATTAACCACATCTTTAATCATATGAAGAAAATTCTAATTTTTAACCATTATTTCTTAAGTATTGTCTATCACATTACCTCCTATTTATCTGGGACTTCAAAAGATGTGCATGTCTACAATGTCTCATATCCCTCTTACATTTCTGTTTTGGTTTCTTTTTTTCTTTATATATCAAACTTAAAGGTTTTCAATAACCAGTTTTTTAGTTTACTAATCCTATTTTATGATATACCTAGTCTTTTGTTAAATATATCCACTGAGTTCTTAATTTGTAATATTATATTTTGTATTTCTACCATGTAAATTCCATTTTTATAGATTGTAATGCTCTAATAAAACATATCATATTTTCATTTATTTATCTATCTTTTCCTCAATTTACTGTCATATTAGTGATAATTACTTTCAAGACCTTGTCTGCTAACTTCAATAACTGAAGCATCTCTGGATAAGCACATAATTTATTTTTGATTATCAATCATTTACTCCTGTTTCCTTGCATGTGTAGCAATTTTTAATTGTATTTTTGATATTGTGAATGATATTTTGTATAGAATCTCAAGGATTTTATCACCCACTGATGAGGGTTCAGTTTTGTTCTGGGCAATAATTGCATTTCAGGTGGATAATCTAGATTATCATGTGGAGGGTTGGTTTTAGGCTTTAATAGGGTGTGTCTATTTTGATATTGCCCTTAATTCTGTGGTATAGGCCTTACTCCTAGGGCATGGTGTTTCTAGGATCTCAAAAAAAATTCCTGGGTATTCACCAAAGATATTTTTCTTTGGCTGGGGTTGATCTCCAACATCGATCCCATTTTGTGCAATATATGAAATTTCTGTTTCAATCTAAGCCCCTCAGTAACAATTTCTGCTAGAATTCCTGAAATCTTGTCCTATGTGTGTTCAGGTTAATAGTTAGCCAAAGGCTTTAATGATACCACTACATCAATATTTTTTGCTCCTGGATTGATGCTTTCTTCTCTCTAATTTCCTGATTTCCAAACTTCAGTCTCCTTAACAGCTCTGTTTCCTCTGCCTCGTGGACTTGTAATTCTTCCATTTACAGCAGATTAGAAAATATGCCCAGGAAGAAAACAAGGGTAAATGTGAGGCTTAATTTGGCACTTCCCTTCTCTCAAGGATTGCAGTCATGTGATCTTTGCTGCCAGTGCCTCAAAACATGTTTGTTTGTTGGTTGGTTTTTAATTTTATAATTGTCTGTGGCAAAAGCTTATTTGTTTCAAATGTCCTTTGGGTCTTTGGTAAGATTCATCTTTTCATTCCCCCTTAATATTACTTTATTATACATTCTCTTTTTCCTGATCATTTATAACAGAAGACTATCAATTTCTTATTCAAATAAAGAAGTTTGCATTTGTTAATCTTCTCACTATTTGCTATTATCTTTACTATTTTCTTCCTTCAGCTCTGTTTTGTTTCTTCTTCTCTTCTTGGGATGGATGATAATCTTAATTTTAGCTTTTTAATTTTACTAATATGCACATCCAGAAATATAAATATTCTTCTTGGTTTTGCTTTAGCTATATCACTCAGATTTTTCTAGGTAGTATTTTTTAATAGTCAGTAGAAAATATTATCTATCTTCTCATAAGTACTTTAGATGTAAATATTTCTTAATTTAGAAATACATGTAATATTCTACTTTGTTGTTGATTCCTAGTGCAATTACAGTTGATTTAGAGAAAAAATGCTCTACGATATTAAACATTTGAAATTTTTCTGATTTGTCAGTACATATGAGTATATGGTCAATTTTTGTAAGTCTTGTGTCCTCAAAAAGAATGTGTAGTCTCTAATTCTATGTATGTCCAATAAGTCAAATTTATTAATTGTGTTCTTTAAATTCTAGGTTGACAATTGTTTTATATCAGTATTTTAAATATATGATATTATTCTCTTTTAGCTTCCAATTTTAGTATTAAGAAAACTTTTGTTAGTCTTACTGTCTGACTTTAAAGAAGCTTCCTTTTGAATCTCTAATTAGGTATGTATGTACACATGTATTGTACCTTTCCAGGGATCCTCTAAATATTTGCTTTCTATTATGTTTTCTTTTTCCTTGTCTTTCACTGCTTCATTATGGGTAGTTTCTTCTGATTTTTATTTCATTTCTAATTTCTTTAGTTCCTAAGTCTATTAAGTTCTTAATTTTGTCCTTAATTTTTGTCTTTGTAATTTTCTTTTCTAGAATTTTTACTTGACTCTTTATCAGATCTGATATTATGTAATATATTTACCACTTCATTTCTGAATTTTTCAAATGTAGCTTTTGTCTCTAACAAAATGAGTTGTTCTACAGTGTTAATTTTTATAGTGTCTAATAATCACAGAACCTGGATTTTCTGTAGGTCTGTAAATATTGCCCATTTTATTTTTTCTGTAGGTTTTTTCGTCTAGTCTTACCTCTTTTATACTTGGTATATTGGATGTGTACTTAAAACATTATTTTAAAAAATATTTTAAGGCTTAGGATAATGCTATTTTCGTTTATCTAGAACTTTTGTTTCCTTTTGCCTGGCACCTAGGGAAAGATAGCAATCTCTGATTTTCTTTATCCATATTCAATGTTTGAAAATTCCTGGGCCAATCAGAAGACTAAAGTTAGGCTGCAGTTTCTGTGAGAACCAGTTTACTTCTGGTTCACTTTACTCAAAATATGCAGCTCTTCACAATCTCAACCCAAAATAGGATTGGTGTAGCTGGGTTTCCACCTTAGTTGCATTCAGGACTCTTAACTTCTAAGACAAACGAAATCTTACTTAGTTTTACCTCTCACCACTTTTTTCAAGTAGACAAATGGCTTTATGGCTAAAAGCTATTCTCTCTGGACAGGTGATAGTTTTTAAACCCAGCTTGGTAGTTCCTTATTCTTCTGTTAGCTATGTAAAACTTTTAAGAAGATTGAAAGTATTTTAACTCATTGTAACTCATTATATTGTATTTCATATGGTTACTTCAAAATATTTACTCTCCCACTAATGGAAACAAAAGGTCATCTACTTTGGTTCCCTGTAGATATCGATTTGACCCAATATAACATTTTGAAAAGACCAGCTTCTGCCTGCTGATCTGCAGTAACACTCTTCTCATAAATCAAGAATCCACATATTGATTGTTTCTGGACCCTCTAAACTGTTTCACTGGACTATTCTGTCTTGCACCAATGCCACAATATTAATTATTTTGTACTTACAGTAATAAATGTCTAGCAAAGTCCTCTCACTTTGTTTATTCTTTGTTTTTCAATATACATCTTAGAATTGTCTTATTTTCATAAAAATGCTGCTGGGTAGCTGGTTGGATTATTGAATCTATATATTTGAGAACCAACTTTTTAAAATGTTGAATACAATCAATGAATATGTTATATCCTTCCATATATTTGTACACTCCAATTTTCCTTCATAACATTTGTTATTTGGCAATGCAGAAGATTTGCAAAGCTTTTATTATTTTAATTCTGGATATTTAAAGATTTTTTTACTACTGCACATATTTTTTTAAAAACTTAGTTTTTCTAATTTTTGTTGCTTTTACATAGGTATGTAATTGATGCTTTAAAAAATATTGACCATGAAGCCACCAAACTTGTGTACTTGGTTAATTAATTAATTAATTAACTAACTAGAGTTGAGGTTTTGTTCTGTCACCCAGGTTAGAGTGCAGCAGCATAATCATAGTTTACTGCAGCCTTGAGCTCTTGGGGTCAAGTGATCCTCCCACCTCAGCCTCCTGACTAACTAGAACTACAGGACTACCACTCCTGGCTAATATTTATTCATTTATTTATTTTCATAGACAAAGTCTCATTATGTTGCCCTGGCTGATCTTGAATTCCTGACCTCTCGGGCAGTCCTCCCACCTCAGCCTTCCAAAGGGCTGGGATTACAGAAGTGAACCGCCATGCCTGGCCAACTTATTTATTAATTCAATTAAAGTACCTGTGAATTCTTTTGAATTTTCTTCATATACAATCATCATCTGAAAATAAGAAAGTTTATTTCTTCCTCAACAGTCTTTAATCCTTCCATTTATCTTTTCTCGTCTTCTCGTAATAGGTACATTGTTGGATAGAAGTGGTAACAGCGTGCATTTTTATTTCATTCCCAATAACAGGAATACTTGCAGTATTTCACCATTAAGTGTAATGTTTACTGTAGATGTCCTACAGCCTTTATTGGAATAAGGAGGTCTCCTTCTCTTGTAAATGTGCTAGGGCTATTTATTATGATTCAATTTTCTCAAATATTTCTCTATATCTCTATAGATGATAATATGTATTATTTGGATTATTTTTGAGTATTATAAACTTTTCCCCCAGAATAAACCAACTTTGTTGTAATACATTATCTTATGTATACATTGCTGAATTTATTTTGCTATATTTTGTTTCAAATTATTGCGTCTATGTTCATGAGTGAGATTGATATGTAATTTTTCTTTCTGATAATGCCCTCGTCAGGTTATTGCCTTAATGTTTTTATAAAAATATTTGAGAAATTGTTATTTTTCTTTTCTCTTGATGCATTTTCTCTAACAGTGGACTTGAGGCATCTGTTTTCTTTTTGTGGTTTATTGGCAAGTTTTATTTCTCTAGGAATTTTTAATTTAATCTAAATATGTATAATATTTAAATAAATATTTTAATATAAATATTTAAATTTATTTGTAAATGTCTGCAAACTTTTTTTTTTTTTTTTTTGGGATGGTGTCTTGCTCTGTTTGCCCAGGCTGGAGTGCGGTGGTGCAATCTTGGCTCACCTCAGCCTCCACCTCCCGGGTTCTCCTGCCTCAGCCTCCCGAGTAGCTGGGACCACAGGGACATGCCACCATGCCCAGCTAATTTTTGTATTTTTAGTAGAGATGGGGTTTCACGATTTTGGCCAGGCTGGTCTCAAACTCCTGGCCTCAAAGTGCTGGGATTACAGGCATGAGCCACCATGCCCAGCCTCAAATATTTTGTATCTACGGCCAGATAGTAAAATAATTTAGGCTTTGTGGTTATACAGTGCTTCTCATAGCTATTCATGAATGAAGGCATGGATAATATGTGAATGAAGTGTGCCTGTGTTCCAGTAAAATGTAATTTATAGGCATTGAAATTTAAATTTCAAATAATTTTCACATATAATACATTATTTTTATTTTTTTCAACCATTAAAAATATGTAAACCATTCTTAGCTCATGGATATATAAAAACAGACAGTGGATATGGACAGCAGGCCATAGTTTAATAACCTCTGGCATACAGTTGTTCAAATACTCTCGTGATTTTTCTGAGATATACAGAATCGTTAAGAATGTTCACATATTTATTAATATTGGCTATTTATTTTCTTTGTAAGACTAATTAAGAAAATTAGTCTTGCCAATTTTAAATTGTTTTTAAAGAACCAAATTTTGGCTTTGTTCATCTCCTGTATTTTTTTTTTCTAGTTCACTTATTTGTTCTTATAGTTATTTTCTTTTTATTTTGTTTAGATTTAATTTGCTGTTCTTTCATTTTTTTAGAAGTATGCTTGAACATTGATTTCAGCTTTTCTAATTTTTCATTTAAGGTTACAAATTATTTCTCTAAGCATGGCTTTAGCTTTCCCCTTCTACCTTTAGTATTATTTTCATTATTGTTAAAAATATTTTCTAATTTTCATTTGATTTCAAATTCATCTCATGAATTATTTAGTGCTGTATTTATTAATTTATATCCACATGTGTACCTATACAGATAGATTTTCTTTTATCTTTTTAGTATTAATAGGTTAATTCTGTTTTGGTTAGATCACATATTCTATATGGTTAAATCCTTTGAATTTGGTTGCATTTTTATTTATAGGTGAGAATATTTCCAGTTTTAACAATTGTTTTATGCAGTCTTCTACAATATGTCAATTTGCTCAAATTTATTAATTTTGTTATTCAGATCTATTTTTTTGAGGATTTTCATTTCAACTTGATTCATCAGTGATTAAGTTATATTTCTTGGATTCTCCCATTTTAGCTGTGAGTTTGTTTATGTTTCCTTTTTGGAAATGTCAGTTTTTCCTTTATATATTGTTAAGTCTATATTTCAGATAAATAAATACATTTAAAATTGAACCTTTCATTGTTATGAAATGGCTTTCTTAATCTCTATTACTGCCTCTGGTCTTAAAATGTATTTTGAATGATGTTAATATACCTACACTAGGTTTCTTTATTGTTTACATGAGATGTTTCCTATTCTTTTACTTCAAAATATATATCCTATATTTGTAGTATTACTCTTAATAGAAAGCAAGTATATTGAATTTTACTTTTTGTATTTAATGTGACAACATATGTTTATATTTCATGTAATATGGGATATATTTGAGTTTAAATTAACTAGTTCTTTTTTATTTTTTTCTGTATTACGTCTCCTATGTTTCTTTCACTTTCTTCTTCCCTTCTTTTCTGTTTGTTGTTTTAATTATTATTTTTTTAAAATTCCCCTCTATTAGCTTGTTAGCTTCATCTTTTACTAACTGCACTATAGCACAACATATGATTTTTCTTCTGACATTCACAATTGTATTTAATTGTACATATAGTTTTTAACTCAACTATATATTATTCCACTCAGCCAATATTCAATTAGAATTATATCTGCCCTATCAATTGCTCTGAACACATTATTGATTCTCTGGGTTTCATTTGTTATCTTTTTTTCCTTGACTGTAGAAATCCCTTTAAAATTTTCTTAAGTATGAATTCACTGTTAATAAATTCTTTGAGTTTTTTTAAAAAATAAAACCCTATAGTTTGCTTATATTTTAAATGGATATAGAATCCTAGGTTGGTAGTTGTTTTCCATCAACATTCTCAAGATGCCATATTATTTGATTTTTCTTGCTTACATACTTTTTATTTAATAGCTGTTAGTCTTATTGTTGCTTCCTTGCATGCAATATGCCTTTTTTCTCTAGCTACTTTTAAATATATTTCTTGTTTTGGTTTTCATAAGTTCTATAATAAATGTACAAAGGTGTTTTACCTATATTTATTCTTATTGAAATGTATTGTTTCACTCATATCTGTTTTTTGTAATATTATATCAATTTTTGAAGAATTTCAGTCATTTTCTCATGAAATACTTATTCTGACGCTCTCTTTTTCTGGAACTCAGACACTTTCATCATGTCTAATTATCTCATGTTCTTTTTTGTATTTTCTATCCTTCTATGTCTTTATAATTTAGTTTTAGTATTATGTTCTAATTTATCTTTCAGTTTACAGTCCTTTCAGCTTTATTCAAATTTTTGTTAAGTCTGTTTGAGTTCTTGTTTTCAAGTTGTGCTTTTTAATTCTAGAATTTTCAGTTGGTTCTTTTTTGTACTTATAGGTTACCAATTTTCTGCTAACATCATCAGTATTGTTTTTTACTTCTTAGGATGTATTAATTACAGTTTTTTTTTTTAATTCAGCATCTCTGAGGTCCACTACATAGATCTTCTTTAGGACTCTTGTGTGGTTTGTATATTCTCCAAGTTTTTTTTCGTTTGTTTGTTTTGAGACAGAGTCTTGCTCTGTCACCCAGGCTGGAGTGCAGTCCATGATCTCAGCTCACTGCAACCTCTGCCTCCTGAGTTCAAGCTATTCTCCTGCCTCAGCCTCCCGAGTAGCTGGGACCACAGGCATGCACTACCATGTCTGACTAATTTTTTGTATTTTTAGTACAGACAAGGATGTATCATGTTGGCCAGGCTGGTCTTGAACTCCTGACCTTAAGTGATCCACCTGCATTGGCCTCCCAAAGTGCTGGGATTACGGGCATGAGCCACTGTACTCAGCTTATACTCCAAGTTTTTTATTATGTTTGTTTTCTTCCAGGCCTGGTTATGTTAATTGTTGCCAAACATTGTACATGACTGCAAACATATCTAAAGTCTCTGGATGACCTTCTCATTCTCCAGAATGCATTTACCTTTGCTTCTGACAGGCAGTTAGAGTAGAGACATTAATAATACAGAGTCACCTCAACCCTATAAGAAATTGAAGTGATTTGAAACTGAGCTTTGGTACTTGTGAGAACTGGTTTATTTTCAGTTTTCACTTACTCTTAGAATGTAACCTTTTGAAATCCAAACTGAAAACCTGAGGTATATATGAGGTCATCTCTTCTTGAACTCTAATTTTTGTTTTTTCAACTTAGCACATCTGTTAAAATATCTGCTCAGTTTCTCAGTCCCTGCAAAATCCCTGCATGAAATTTGCCATCACCCTGCAGTCTCAGTTACAGGGCTCACCTTGCTAGGCTTTTATTCTCTTCTTAGAACCTTGGTATCTCTCTAATTTCTTCAAAATGATTTCATATATACATTTATATATAATTTATATATATGTATATATACACTTAAATATCAGTATGGAATAGGGAAATATACATATATATTTCCTTTTCCTAAATATATATAATTTGGACATATGTATACATAATTTTTGTTAAAATTATATATATATATTTGGACAATATAATATTTAGGAGATAGGAAAAATACGTATAAATATGTTTATAAATATATTGTCCAAATTTTGCAATTGTTTTCCCTGAGATGGTTGGTCTGAAATAATGTCATTTGCTATTGATGGCAGGAGAGCTCCCACTCATTGTATTTTACATTTGTATAGTTTTCTATTCCTTACTGATATTTTGAAATGTATCTTTCATGTCTTTAAACATAGTAAGTGTTGTTGCTTTATGAACTGTATCTGGTAATTTCAATATCTGATGCACATCTCTGTTTACTGTCTGCTGTTTCTGCTGGTTCTGGCTTACATGAGTACCCTATTTCTTTTTTGTACTTGTTCCTTTTGTCTGTGTACTCCAATTGCCCTTGAAAAAGTATATTTTTTGAGGCCCCAAATGAAGGCACATTCTGCCAGACTTACATTTGCTTCTAACTAGTGCATGCAGTTGTGATGAATAGAAAGTACTTTTAACCCAGGATAAACTTGGCATTCTTGGGAACCTCTAGAAAGCAAATCTACTGGAAGTTTTGCCAGAGACAACATTTATTCAAAGAACATTTTAAAATCTTTTCTTTCTTTTCTCTCAATTGTTCTTGCGGTACTTACAAGGCATTGCTTATGGATAACTTTCATATTAGGTACGCAACTCTTCGTGTTCCAGATTAACGTGAGGGAGTCTCCTCTCAGACTCCCTGCTATAGGAAGCCCTAGGATTTGACTTCCTTTATCTTCTGCCTATAGCACATTTTGGTAAACTTAGCACACACCTTCTAGGTAAAAGCAGTTTGGTGCTTGGCTTAGTCTTTCTGTGCTACAATAACGAAATACCATGGACTGGGTAATTTATAAAGAACAGAAATTTATTGTCTTACAGTGCTGAAGACTGAGAAGCTCAAGATTAAGGGGCTGACATATTTGGTGTCTAGTGAGGGCTATTCTCTGTTTTCAAGATGGCATCTTGTTGCTGCATCCTCTGGTGGGGCTGAACACTGTCTCCTCACATGGTGCAAGAGACAGAAGAACAAAAAGGGCCAAAGTTCGTTCCCTCTAGCCCTTTTATAAGGCACTAATCCATTAATGAGGACAGATCCTTCATACCTTTATTATTTTACAAAAGGCTCCTTCTCTTAATACAATCAGAATGGGGATTCAATCTCAATATGAATTTTGGAGGAGACACATTCAAACTATAGCAGTGCTCATGTATACAATTTATATATTCACGTTTTCTTCTTCCTACCCTCAAGTTCGTGCCTGTAGTTCTCACCAGTTGTTAGCTCTGAAATCGTATTAGATTTAAATATTTAAATCTCTTTAAATATTTTAAAGGAATTTTCAAATATTTTATCTAGTATTTTAATTTGTATAACTGGTAGATTTGGTTTAAATAAAATAATTCATCGTAATTTGAAATAGAATTTTTCTATCTTTTTGTTTTTAATGTATTAGGAAAAGAAAATGTGGCCTTATGAAGTATGTTGTTGAGAAGTTATTGAATTTATTTTTGATGTGGTAATAAAATATGGTCAAAATTATCTCCTGGATGTTTAAGACAAATGGTTCTTTTATTCTTTATTGGGCTTAATGTTGTTTATATATATAATTTTAGTTACATATGTATCTATTATGGCAAATCAATAAGCTTTAGTGTTTGTACATATGTATATATAACATTTAATATTCTTTCAAATATATATTCACTTCTTTGTGTACTTTAAGTATCAATTTTCAATACATGTACATTAATATGTTTACTATGATAAATATTTTTAGTTTTTTAAAAAATTTCAAACTGTTTTAAATTTATGCCCACAAAGAAGTGAGAAGGTTGGTAATGAAAAGAGAAAATATCTGAATAGTTGTGAGGCTAAACCTAGAATCAGCAGTGGGATAGCAGGTAGCTAGGGTATGATGAACAGGCTGGAGAGTTAGAAACACACAGATGTTAGGATTCTGTGTCTTATATCATGCAAAGATTTAAACAATAAACCGGGTAATAGGTCCTAACATGCATCTTTAATTTTGTTTCTTTCATCTGGTTTTCTTAATGAAAAATGATTACTGAGTTGAGTTTCTTGAACTCTTGGAAAAGCTTTAAAATATGTGTAACTGTCTTTTTAAAAAAATGACTTCATGGGAAAAGGTATTGTTGTATGCAGATTTCCAGTGGAAACCTGCAGATGCTCACATAAGAAACATTCTTGCCCACTCTTTTGAATAAACATGTTGCAAACCCAGTATATTTGCATACCCAAGAGAATAATTGTCTCAAAGATATGGGCTGTGAACACATGTGGTTGTCTACCAGATTATGAACACCAGACTTGAGACATATATTTTTCAGGTGTACAGCTTGAGGAAATTATTGAACACTCAGCACAAATGCCATGTCTTGGGGAATATTTGGAGAAATGTAGGCGCTACTGTATTTTAAATAATCAGTCCCTCTAGCTCTCATTGTGACTGATGGAAAATTTATTTTATTTTCCCTTGACAAAGGGAAACAAAATTGTAGCTCTCTTAATTCATAGTTTGTTAAGCAATTTCCATTTTGTAGTTGCATCTCACAGATGTTCTGAAATGGTTAAGCCAAAAAAGCATGTTTTAATTCACAAAAAACTTAGAACAAAATACACTCCTATCAGTTGGTTAATGTGTGTGTGTATATATATATATTCTCATTGATAACTCACACACAAAAAGAAGCATTTTTATAGGGCCGGTATAATCCTTTCTTACTTTATGGGTAAAAAGTTATAAAGTCACATACTATGCCTGAATGTTTGACTTTTTATTTATATTTTGCAATTTAATGCAGTGGAGCTGGAAGATGTGAAAAATGTTTAGATACACATGCAGCTCCTGTAGGTCTGAACAAACTCAAGTCCTCAACCTATTATCTTCAGAATTTGTTATAACATATGCCTATTAAATTGGACCAGATCTTATTTTTAGAGTAGCCCCCAAATAACTACTTTTTCAAAATATGTCCAGTGCTAGCAACAGCTTCTTGTGGAAAGCAGCTGTTTCAAATCATCCTGTTATAAATAGGGCAACTATAGAGCCTGGTTTGCACAGACCACTGTACCTTAGACCTTTTGTCTGGGATTAACTATTACTATTACTTATGCTCTCAAAAGGTACAGTTTTAAATGATAGATTATGCAGCCACACCAGATTTAGGAGGCTAAGTTCAGTAACATTCTGAAGGAGGAATAATGGCCTAACATTAGAGTCATACTATACCTCCTCCCATTAAAGTATGCCTTTACTTCAAGCATCCCCCGGCTCCCACTCTTTGGCTTAAATATATAATTTCTTTATATTTTTGTTAAAGGTATACTCAAGGTTTTTTAGCTTGGTGATTGTGGAAAATATTACCACTATCTATAGTTTAATTAATAAATCCAGTACAGACTTCTGTCAGGTTTCTCCTGCAGTAGAGTAAGAAAAGTTCTCTATATTAATGCATTTTAGTGGTTCATTTTTCCACCATTATCTGCCCACTAACAAGTCCTCAAATATAAGCAACTTATAGAAAATATTTTTGATGTGCCAGCTAAATATATTTAAGTGTGGGTAAGTTATTCCTGCAGAATGTTAACTGTCAAAAGTTTCCCACTAACTAACCAATGGCTTTATGTTAATTTCCATATGTCTTCCGTCATTGGATTCTTGCTTTAGAGAAAGGTATGCTCTTCTTTGGTCAGACTTACAGATAACTAAGGCTATTTTTGCATTGATTTCCTGTTTCTTTGTAAAAATTTTGAACCCTACCTTCTCAATTCTAGAAATTGGGTGATCAGGAAGCTAATTAGGCTTCTGAGCAGATAGCATGTGGGAACCTGACTTACCACATTCTTACAGGAATACCGTGTGGTAATTTTTCTTAATCTTTCTCAGAGCATGCTTTTATGTATACATGAACAAACCAAAACTCATGAATCACATGGATGTTTTGAACTTAAGGCTAAACAAATGGCAGGAACCACAAAGATTAATGAAAAATAAGTTTTATAGAATGAGATACATTCAGTGTAATCTTCTTTTCATCTACATGTGGAGTAATTTTCTATAATCATAATCATATTGATGATCAGGTGGGCTCAGGATCTCAAAATGGTCAGAAATGCTATAGGTAATAGGAACTGCTGTATTCTTAAAAGATTTTAAGTGAGGAAACTGAGCTATCAAAAATAGTTCTTGTTTAAACTTTAAAGCGAGCTAATCATCTATGTGTGAAGCCATTCCAGATAGAGTTTTACCTTTATTTTCTATTTTTGTTATTAAAAAGTGTGAGAAATAACATCTTATTTATTCTATTAAGGTGAAAGGTCAATAGCCACCTGTAGGATGTGTATCTTCTACCATCATGATAACAAGCTTGGTTAGAGCTTAAAATAAAAGAGGTGTTACCTTTTCTCATTTTTACAATTTTACTGTATTTCTTAATTTTAAGGGTGGAGAAGGAGGAGGATTATTGTCTTTCAACAGGCTTCATTTGTCCTATTTCTCATAAAATATTGTTCAGTTTTGGAATGTGTGTCAGGTGATATTCAGGCTTATAGTAGAGTAAGACATTGTAACCTGCAATTTCTTCTAATATAAGAAGTGAGAAACAGAGGCTACACTCATGTTTTCATAATTTGTTTTTCTTCTCAGTAGAAGACCCTTGATTGCTAACTTTCTTAATGCCAAGTAACAGAAACTATCGACGTATCCTGTGTAACAAATATTACTTTCTTTGTTCCTGCTCATGATCATTAGTGACTTCCAGATAACTTATCAATTATTGTCTTCTATAATACATAGCACTAAACACTTGAACATAGATGCTTGTATTTGATAGTCATCTGGCATCATTTATATCATTTATGAACATGAACATGTACAATTGACAAGACTTCATAGATCCATGGCAAGTATAAGCCATCACTGGTGAATGATTTCACAATTTGTAACAGCTCACATGGTTTTGAGACCTTAAACCTTAACCATTCTTCTTTGCATCTTCTGTCACCCACCATGTTCAACACGAATTTCCTGGTGGCCCAGATACTTGCCAAAGCAGGAAAAGCCTCCCCAAGATTATCTTGCTTTAAATGCGCAGGAGAATCTGAGCTTGTATGGCATTGTTATTGATTAATCATATCTACAGTGTTGTTGATTTTTTCTGGTTGATTTGGAAACGAGAGATGGCAATCAGGAAACTATCAACACATTGAAAATAAAGGCACTTTTAAGATAGGAAATAAATAAGGCAGGGAATACTCTCTACTGAGTAGGGAGGCAAATTCTGAAAATTTTCAGATACTTTTTATTCCTGACATAGAAACTTGCCCAGATGTGATGAATGTGGGTTTTAAATTGAGCTCTGCCCCACACCTTCAGGCAAATGAGTCTCCACAAAGGAAAGGTAATCATAGCTCCAAAACCAAGTAGGTATATTACAAAGAAACAATAATAAGATATAAACATACCATTTAATCATTAAATTGAAATGGATATGTTTTTCCTAGCACCTAATAGATTATCTCAAAAAGAATAAAATTCACATATATTAAGTTTTTGATTAAGCCCTACATATTGAGCTTTCTCCTCATTCTTTGCGTTTAAGATAGAAATAATGTTATTTTAAAGGTTAAATGTTTTTTAGAAAACCATTTCACTTTTACATAAATTTAAACTTTCTGAATATTTAAGAATTATATAAATATAAACTATTGTTTCCTTTCAAAATTTGTTTCACAAGAGCAGACAATAGATCTCCACTTTCAGCTGCACATTTAGATGTTTCTTTTATTTTTGAGTGTACTTTCTCCTCAATCTTTCCACAGAATTAAAAATTTTGTTCCTCTCATGTTTTATTGAAAAGGCTCTCTGCCATTATATCATTTCGTTTTCCGGTTTTATTCTTTTGTCTGAAGGCACATGCAGCATCCCTGGTTTAAGGACTCTAGACAGCGAGAGAAATGGATAGCCACGAGAGTATCTCTAGTCAAGGTTGAAAGAGAGCTCATAGCTTTCTAAAACGAACGCCGTGAATGGGGGACATTTAGGTTATTGCCATGACAATTCTAATTGTTGGAACTTTATTCTTATTATGGTCTTTATTCAGTTGGATTCACCCTAACAGCACACATAGACGAGTCACTTTAATTTCTGGGCTGGTTTTGGAGAACATGTAGCCAAGAATCATCATCTTTTTGTTGCGATAACAAAACACACGGTCAAGGGGGTCTAAATGGAATTGCATTTTATAGGCATGCAGAGATCGGTATGAAGTAAGACATGCTCTCTTTGACCTCTGGAAGCTCTCTCTAACAAATGATGGGGCTACATTTTAAATTACAGGAGATTCCAATTACTGTGAAATTATGGGGCTATATGAGCTCCCTCTATGGGCTAATTTAACGTCTGCAAATTATATTTCTTGTTCTTCTTTTTTTTTTTCCTTCTTCCCATTTTTTTCCCCAACAAAGCCTCTGTGTGGCCTCTGGGATGGGGTGGCCGCCTAAGGGCCCTGAGGTTGTGCTCCTTGGAGCGTGTGCAAGATGGCTGCCCCAAGGCTGTTTGAAGCTGGCGCGTTTGAAGCTGCCGCGCGTGTTTGAAGCTGCGGCATTTGAAGCTGTCGGGCTTGAAGCTGGCGCCTGTGTTTGAAGCTGCGGCATTTGATGTTGCTGAGGACGTTTGTAAATTTGAGACAGACTTTAATATTGTTAGACGGTAGGGGAGTCCTTTTCAACCCCCTTTTCATTTTTTTTTACTTGAACTTTTAAAAAAGTTTTATTTAACTTTTTTTTTTTTCAACTATTTTAACTACTTATGTCAGCCGAGGAATGCTGTGATTCACAGTCATTATTGTAAGGAGGCTGTTATGTATTTTTAGTGCTGCTGGGACCATAGGAATTCTTGAGTGGCTTTGACTGGATACAACAATGTGGAGAATAATCCCAACTGTGAAAAGTGCTACTGTGGCCACAGAACAGTACAGAATAATTTTTGAAAAAGGGCAATCTTCTTGTTGCTTTTAGAAGAAGGCCGAGTATGCTCGCTGTTGCATTAGCAAGATTGATGATTGTAGAGGTAGAACAAATGTATGTGAGCAGAAGAAGTTGGGAATTCATAGGTGTAGGAATTAAGTTTGCAGTTGTGGAGCAAAGCATTTTCTATTTTTCTTCCTATTATTTTCCCTTCCAAATTCTATAAAAAAGTAGGGAGAAAGGTGGGTGTAGTTATAAAACAATGCTGTCAACCCTTTGGACAATACTATAAAAATGAGTGGTGTCTGATATGAAGAGCATCTATTCTGAAATGTGAGAGAGAAGAGAATGAATATTGCTGCTGTTGGTAAAGGAAAGAAAACAGATGGTTATCTTATAGTCTGTAGATTATGGTTTTATAAATATCTTGTTTGGAGGAACCCTAGATGTAGAGGTGAAAAGCTGGGAAAATTGGGAAAGAGCCATGAGTTGTCAAATCCAAAATAGGATGGATGAGAAACATTTTGGTTTTGGTGCAAATCATTTTTCACTTAATTCTCAGCCTGGATCAACATCATGCACTTGAATGCAGAGCTGATGAAATACGACATTTTTATGTTGTCCATGGTTCCTGGCTGATGGATGGTTTAGGTTAGAAGGCTACTTTGGTGGCTTTGCCATGAGTTTTTCTCTTTGGAAGTAGAGTGTTTCATTCTGCTAATGATTATTCTTTTGAAAGTTAAGTAATGCTTTCTTGGCATTGGCTATTTGTCAGAGCTTAAACCTTTTTACTTACATGTCCACCATTAAGTTTTTTCACTGTGCAGAGCACAGATTTCTATAGAATATACTTCTGTTATTCAGCCATAATTTGGGTTTTATTTCTACAACCCAAAAAGATTAAGCTGTTTGTTTCTGTATTTCAGTCATTTGTAGCAAGGATTTACTATTCCTTCAGTTCCAGAAAAAGCTATCTATTAATTTCATATCATTAAAATTGAGTTATTGCCTTATAATCTAGATGGAACTAGGTTTTATTCTAATAAATAATTTAAACATGTGCTTTACCTATTTAAGAGTAAAATGTGTCTTGCATACCTTTTGAATGATGAAAACATTTATTTCCCATTACTTCATAAAGCAGATGATCTTGGAACGTGTTTTCTTAAGAATAATTGTTTTTAAGGATTTTCCATCATTAGTTCATCATTTCTGATTTGGGTAGGTATAGAAATTGGGTATTTTTCTTTGTCCTATATAGATACATTTCTATCCCAACGCAACTTGCCATTATGAGCTTCTTCAATTGTATTCCTTTCAATCGGTGTGTCTTTTCTGATCTATTAGCTAATCATTTATTTTAATGTTAATGTTTTACCAAATTTGTATTTTGAACTTTACATGAACAATATTAACATCATTTTTTGAGAATTGAGTAAGTTCCTACACACTATCAATGAAATATACTAATACTGAGTCTATTATAACAAGTCATTTAATAAATTATAAAACATTAAAAACTAAACAATATAGGAAGTTCATAAAATTATTGGCGCTGCACCTTTTGGTTTATATACTGTTTTCAGAATTAAAAAAGAATTTCCTAATTTAAGGAAACAGTGCATTTTACACATCTATACACACACATACACATGGGTGCACAAGTGTTTATGTCGTTGTGTGTGTGTGCGTGTGTATGTATATTGTTTATTATAAAGTCTTCCTCATCAATTCAATTTTTTTCTTACTCATCAACCTCTGTGATATTCGACCCATGTTACTGGTTTTTTAAGCTTAGAGAGAATTCTTTGATTTTCCTACTCCTTGCCATGATGTAGTCTATGTAGTCTAGTAATCTACATTTGATAACAAAAGAGTTGCTTGAGAGTAATTGAACACACACATGGTTCGGTGAGTACTGCATGCATTTTATCATATATTTGCTTAAGCATAAATAATTTAAGGAAAAGGATAAAAGTTGAAAACTGGTGTCTCTTATACAGTAAGAAGCTTGTGGGCAAGCTTAATCAGTCTGGTTGCATGTCCCATATTACCCTTGTTCCTTGCTGGCTTAGGCTAATATATTGCTTCTTATTTTTCAGAACATTTATTGTAATTTTTTAAAACATACATTTAAAAAAATTTTCCTCTTTCCATTTTATTTCATTAAAATTAATTTCAGGTAACTTTTCTTTTAATGAATTTCCACACATATGTACCTCTTTCAATGACTCCCCAAAATACAGGCTGTAAACTGATTAATGATTTCTCCTTCTTCACTGTGTAGCTCTTTTTCTCTTACCTGAGTGTTCTGTCCTCCATCTATTTTTTTCTGCCTCTATCAGAATTCTCTGCCATCCAGTCATGATGTTTATAATTTGCTTCCTGTGATACAGAAATAACAAGAGTAACTTGATGAATGGGATCCAAGCCGAAAACGGCTTTTTCCATTACACAGCATTGTGACATTATTTTTCTTACAACTCTTAATAACAGTATCTTTGTTATAACACTGCATAGACTTATTGATTCTATTAATACTTATGCGATTTGTTATTACCTCATATTTTTCTCTTGTAATAAGTTAATCACATTTGTTTCCTTAAGTGTTTTGTTACCTTATTTTTAAAGCAGAAACGATTAGAAATTCTATATATAAACTTTCTGTTTTTTGTATACTTTAAAAAATAAGCTTTATTGAGATATTGTTAACATACAATAAAATTTCCCAATATTGAATACATAATTCAATGAGATTTGAAAAATGTATACAGCCCTATAACTATCAGTGCAGTCATCAAACGTTTGCATCAGCCTGAAAATGTCTCCCATATCTCCTTTGACATCAATTTCCTACGTATACTCACTGACCCTGGCAACCAGTGATCTTTCTTTCACTATAGTTCTGCCTTTTGTAGAATTTCATGTCAGTGAAATCACACAGCATGTGCCCTTTTGTGTCTAGCTTCTTTCACTTAGCATAAGACTTTTGAATTTCACTCATGCTGTGGCATGTGTCACTGTATTTTTTCTTGCTGTTGCTGAATAGTATTCTGTGGTATGGATACACCACAATTTATTCATTTAGCATTTGGTGACTTTTTTAGTTGTTTCAGTTTTTGGTGATTATGAATGAAGCTGCTGTAAGCATTTGCCTGCTGAGTTGTTGTGTGAACATAAGTTTTAATTTCTCTTGAGTAAATATCTGGGCATGGAGTTGCTGGTACACATGTGTTGATATGTTAGACTGTTCTCCAGAGTGGCTGTAATATTTCACATTCCCACCAGCAATGTATGGCAGTTCCAGTAATTTTACATCCTCACCAACACTTGATGTTGTTAGTCTTTTTAATTTTAGCTAAAGAAGTGAGTGAGTATATATTTTTTAACATTTTTTTCCAATTGCAATTATTCACTTCTGTTTTTTTTACCAAGTTTATAATTATTACTATATCTACTGGATTGCATCATGCTTTTATTTTTTCATATGTTATATGTCATCTAACATTTTTATTTTGAAGATTGAAGCCTATAAATATATTATCATTTCTTGGTTTCTTTTAGTGCCTGATAACATAAGGTAACTAAAATCCAAATGTGAACAAATAAGTAGATCAGAGTGGGTCTGGCATGAGCATGTTAATAAATGATTTTTGCCATTTCTTTCTGAGAGCTAGAGATATAATATTTGAAAGAGATTTTATCTGACTTAAAACACTGGGTTTTATTGGTATCCATCAACTATCATAGAACTTACAAATGGAATTGCTTATTTCAAAAATATTACCAACCTGATATAGTGCAGGAACTAGTTTTTTCCAATACATTTTTATATCTTTTCAACAACTGAAGGATCACTATACGACTCAGCCCTGTCATTTCCTAAAATGGCTCGTTTTTATTCTTTGTCTCATTAGATAGCTTAGAGAACAGTGTACCATTGTCTATTAAAGAAGCTACTTTTATTTAATCCAATACCTACTTACATTTGTCAGAATTGGTGATTTTTTAACCTTTTTTTATAGCACTAACTGTTCTCAGATCTCTGGCTTTGTTCCCTGGATGTTAAAAAAGACACATAGTCACTTTGTTGAAGTCCTTCTTTAAAAATCCAGTGTAAATGAGAATCATCATCATCATCTCTATCGCTCTATTCTTTTCTAAGAATATTTCATTTCAATATATACTGGAGCTCTGATTTTTCTCACTAAGGCTCTGTTGCTACTTCATAATAATTACTTGGTTAAGTCATATTTTTTCATGAAAGAGTTAATACAGAAGTCAAAAGTAAATAATACTGAGTTGTGTAGCCATAAACTCTCTTTTCTCAAATAACTATACCTTGCAAGTCAACCCTTACTTCAGAAAAATGGTTGTAAACTGTTCTTTAAACTAGGTAATATATATTCATTTTTTCATGAATTACTTTGTCAAGTTCTATGTGTAAAGACAAATCAGAGTTTCATACAAACTTTTAGCTTTGTCAGATTTTATAAGTAAACAATATGATACTACTATGAAGTGTAGTTGTTATTAAAACAACAAGTTGATTCAACTTCTTGGGCAGTTCACTCTTAGTTCATGAAAGGGTTTTATGTTGAATGGAAGGCAGTTTTTCATGTTACATTTTCTCATAAAAACAAATTTTGTATTTTTGATTTTTAAATCTGGTATTATTAGTGAATAAAGACATTGGGAGTATTTGCACATAATATATTGAATGATGAAGCTAAAGAATGAATATCTGGAAATTATTTCATTTTATTTCTATGTTCAGTTAATAGTATTAACCCAGATTTTTAAATTTTATTTCAATTTAGAATACTGTTAAGGCATGAGCAACTGGAATCTTTTCTGATATGTGGAAAAAAAAATTGAATGATAAACCTGTATCAGAAAGAATTCAAAATTAAAGTTTTACAACATTTGCTCTAGTTATTAAATACTTTCTCAAACCTGAGCTATTTATTCCTTTACATCCTTCTGTATTTTGGTTCAGGATTGATTGAAATTATTCCAAATAACCTTTTAGGTCATCAGTAAGTATATTTAACGAATGACCAAATGCACACATCTTTACACTAGATTTCTGTTTTGATTTCTGAAAAGCCAGGCTGTTTTCTAGGAAACACACACTGTGGATTTTTCTAAGGTCAAAATTGCAGCAACCACGGGTAATTCTGCATATTTGCTTACTCACAAATCCCCGAAGAAGTATTGTATCTGACTCTTCTATAATGAATGTCTTCTTAGTCCAGCCTAAATCCTCCCTGGCAATTTGCATCATAGGAACCCCCACATCTGTTATATAGTAGGGCTGAATTCCAGAGAATTAAGCTCTCTCCTTAGGAGATAGTGCTCTCATTCATACTACACAGAGGGAGGGCATTCCTGCCTTCCCCCTAACTAACCCATTCCCTGGCCAGGAGAGTTATTCCTAATAGTGTGTGATCCAGAAAATTGATTATTTTAATACATTGTTCTTTATAAATGTGATTATTATAAACTAGAGCATTATGGCTTACCATCCAATTTGAAGTCTAAATTTTTCTCTGGGAATTTGAATATATGTGCTGTCTGATTTTTGATAAAATAGATTTTGAATTTCATTTGGATTATCTCTTAAGGAGAGGAAAACTATGACAGAATTTAATTTACCTCTTTTACGGAATGCATATGTTTGTTACACAGTACTTTTCCTTATTTGGTTATTTCCATTGTCTGCTCTCTATTACTTACTCATTGTACTTGTGAAAAGTTTATAGTTTGTTTATTGCTTATGAATTTTGTGTCAGAATTGATTTTAAAATAGGTTTCTTAGAACAATTTCTTTGGCTGAGTTGCTTTCATACTTTCTAACTTAGAAAAATATATAACAAAAATTCCTGTTTGAGATACAATGAAAATGCAAAATACCTTGATATAACATCAGGAAGAAAAACCATTTGGGCACTATATAATGAAAATGATAAAAGTTTGCTGAGACCTGAGACAATTTTTATCAAGTGAAGACTAAATGTACTCAAAGATGGCTGTTCTTAACATATTAATTCACAGAATTGATATAATTAAATTTTTTAAATGTTATTTAGAAAAATTTGGCACAGTAAATCTAAATCTAATGTTTACTTCTCAGAAGGAACTGGGGGAAATAGCTAATACAATCATTTGGTAAGTTGTAAAACTACTGATGGGATTTCAATACATGCTATCCCAGAATATGGCACCTTGGCATTTGAGAAAACAGCAGAAGCAGAAAGATCTCTCTGACCACCCCCTGCACTTCTCTACTGAAGCAGGCCATAAATAATTTTGTGATCTTCCCTTGAAGTAGGCCTTAGGACCCTCATTTGAGAGGTACTCTCCCTACACCAGGAGGAAAGGAATGTCCTTATCTCTGAAGACAAAGGACACAGAGAAGAATCTGAACAAACAGGCCTTGCTGAGGTCCCTTCCAGTTTATTATTATTCGCTCATATTCTCTTTATCCAATCATACTTCTCCATTACTTACCACTCTTGATCAAACCTAAGCATAAAAATAAACAAGTTTACCTGTGTTTTTCGGTTCTCCGTTTCTGAAGGCTTCTGTCACATAACTTACATAAATATGTATACTTTTCTTTATTAATCTGTCTTTTGTTGTAGGGGCCTCAGTCATGAGTCATAAATCTAGTGATGGGAAAGAAAGACAATTTCTCCTACACTACAATAATTAAGGCAGTGTGATTTTGACAAAAGAGTAATGGAAAAGAAGCAAAATCAAGATAGCTTCAAATATGTAAAATTTTGAGTTGGTATTATAATTAAGTGGAGGAATGATGGACTATTAAGTAGCCCAGGGACAATTGGTTAACAAATGTGGAAAAATTTAAATTAGGTTTGTTCTAGTTTTACTGTATATCATATACTAATATATATTCCAGATATTTAAAGATATAAAAGTATAAGATCTCTGAAAACTATAAAAAATAGAATTGACTGTCTGATTTAGTAATAATAAATAACTAAGCATAAAATTAAAAATCAACAGAGGGAGGAGGCAGAGCAAGATGGCAGAATAGAAGGTCCCACCCATCACTGATTGCCACCTCCTCCCTCTGCAAGGACATGAAGTTAACAACTATCTACATAGAAAAAAACAACTTCATAGGAACTGAAAATCAGATGAGCACTCACAGTACCTGTTTTTAACTTCATATTGCTGAAAAGGGCACTGAAAAGATTAGAAAAACAGTCCCGAATCGCCACAGACACCACTCCACTTCCACCCCTTCCCAATGCCTGGCAGCGGTGGTGTGGTGTGGAGAGTGTCTCTGGGCACTGAAGGTGGTAGAAAACAGCAATTATGAGGCATTGAACTCAGTGCTGTCTTGTTAGAGCTGGAAGAAAACCTGAACAAAACTCAGCTGATGCCCACTCACAGAGGGAACATTTAAACTTGAAAGGCAGTCTAGGCCATAAAAACTGTGACTCCTGGGAGAGTCCCAGTGCTGAACTAGGCCCGGTGACAGTGGACTGGGTGGGGCATGTGACATACTGAGACACCACCTGGGACAGCCAAGGGAGTGCTGGCATCACCCTTCCTTTAAATCCAGGATGCACAGCTCAAGGCTCCAAAAGAGACCCTTCCCATCTACCCGAAGAGAGGAGAGGAAAGAGTGGAGAGGACCTTGTCTTGCATCTTGGATATCAGCTCAGGCATATCAGGATCAGGCATCAGTCAGCGTCATGAGGCCTCTGTTACAGCTCCCAGATGACATTTCTAGACACACCCTGGGCCAGAACGGAACCTACTGCCTTGAAGGAAAGGATCCAGACCTGGCAGCATTCATCATCTGCTAACTGAAGAGTTCTTAGGACCTGAATAAACAGCAGTGATACCCAGGCACTACATTGAGGGCCTTGGTGAGCTTCTGAGACTTCCTGGTTTCAGATACCAACACTGCCACGGGAGGGTAGAGCACCAAGCAGGTTCTTGGGGTCCCTGATTCCAAGAACTCAGGGTCCCCATCCAAGGATTTGACTCTTGGATGGCATTTCTGAACCCCCCCAGAGCAGAGGGGAGCCCACTGCACTAAAGAGAGCATCTCAGGCCAGGCAGCGTTTACTGCAAGCTGACTTAAGAGACGTTGGCCCTTAAGGGAACATTGGAAGTAGTCTGGCAGTGCTCCTAATGTCCAAGAGTGTCAGCAGCTACGAGGTGAGGCTCCACTGCCTTTGGAAAAGGGAGGGAATAGTGGGAAGAGCCGTGTGTTGTGTTTTGCCAGCTTAGCCACGATATAATAGAACACAAGGTAAACTTCTAAGGCTTTTGACTCTAGTCTCTGACTCCCAGAAGGCACTTCTGAACCCACCTGAGGTCTTGGGACCTTGCTGTCCTTAAAGAGAGAACATAGGCCTGGCTGTCTTTGCCACATGGTGATTGAAGAGCCCCAGGGCCTTGAGTGAACATAGGCAGTAGCCAGGAAGTGGTGACAGCAGGCCATGTGTGAGACCCAACACTGTGTTGTCTTCAGGTCCGAACCAGTGCAGTCATAGTGGTGGTGACCACAAGGGTACTTGTTTACTCCACCCCCAGCTTTAGGTGACTCAAAACAGAGAGAGACTCTATATGTGTGGGAGAAAGTAAGGGAAGAGAACAAGAGTCTTTACCTGGTAATCCAGAAAATTCTCCTCGATCTTGTCCAAGACTGTCCTCTCCAGATGGTGCCTCTGTGAGTCTGCAAGAACACAGTGTGACTGGGCTTTGGGTGCCCCCTAATGCAGAAATAGCTTAAATCACAACACCCAAGTCATTTCAAATATCTGGAAAGCTTTCCCAAGAAGAATGGATACAGATAAGGCCAGACAGTGAAGACTATAATGAATACCTACCTCTTCAATGCTCAGACAGTGAAGAACATCTACTAGTGCCAGCATTATCCAGGAAGACGTGACCTCACCAAATGAACTAAATAAGGCACCAGGGACCAATCCTGGAGAAATAGATGTGTGACTTTTCAGACAAAATAGCTGTGTTGAGGAAACTCAAAGAAATTCAAGATAACAGAAATAATTCAGAATTCTAACAGATAAATTTAACAAAGAGATTGAAATAATTGAAAAGAATCCAGCAGTAATTCTGGACCTGAAAAATGCGATTGGCGTACTGAAGAATGCATCAGAGTCCTTTAATACTGGAATGGATCAAGCAGAAGAAAGGATTAGTGAGCTTAAAGACAGGCTATTTGAAAATACACAGAGGAGACAAAAAAGAACAAAGCATGCCTACAGGATCTAGAAAATAGACTCAAAAGGGCAAATCTAAGAGTTATTGGCCTTAGAGAAGAGATAAAGAAAGAGATAGGGGTAGAAAGTTTATTCAAGAAATAGGGATAATAACAGAGAACTTCTCAAACCTACAGAAAGATATAAATACCCAAGTATAGGAAGGTTATAGAACACCAAGCAGGTTTAACCCAAAGAAAACTAAGTGAAGGCATTTGATAGTTAAACTCCAAAAGGTTAAGGATAAAGAAAGGATTGTAAAAGAAGCAAGAGAAAAGATACAAATAACATGCAATGGAGCTCCAGTACATCTCACAGCAGACTCTTCAGTGAAAATCTTACAGGCCAGGAGAGAGTGGCATGCCTTATTTAACATGCTGAAGAAAAGAAAACGTTTACTCTATGATAGTATATCTGGGGAATATATCCTCCAAACATCAAGGAGAAATAAAGACTTTTTCAGACAATCAAAAGCTGAGGGATTTCATCAATGCCAGACCCATCCGTCAAGAAATGCTAAAGAGGAAATGCTTTTCTTTCAATCAGAAAGGAAAGAATATTAATGAGCAATAAATCACCTGAAGGTATAAAACTTACTGGTAACAATAAGTACACAGAATATCATAGAATATTATAGCACTGTAATGTGATGTGTAAACTACTCTTATGCTAAGTAGGAAGACTAAATGATCTAGTAAAAAATAACAATTTTTCAAGACATAGTAAAATAAGATGTAAATAGAAACAACAAAAAGTTAGAAAGCAAGAAAATGAAGTTAAGGTGGGCTTTTATTAGTTTTCTTTTTGCTTGTTTGTTCACGCAAATAGTGTTAAGTTGCTATCAGGTTAAAATAATGGGTTATAAGAGAGTATTTGCAAAGCTCATGGAAACCTCAAATCAAAAAACATACAATGGATACACAATAAAAAAGCAAGAAATGAAATATCTCTGGGGGAAGATGAGAATGAAAGAAGAGGAGATCACAAAACAACTAGAAGACAAATAACAAAATGGTGGGAGTAAGTTCTTATAAATAAAAACATTGAATGAAAATGGACGAAACTGTCCAATCAAAAGACACAGACTGGATGAATGGATGAAAAAACCAGACTGATTGTTTGCTACAAGAAACACTCTTCACCATAAAGACACATGTAGACTAAAGATATAGAGATAAAAAAAGCCATTCCATGCCAATTGAAACCAAAAAAAGGAGGAATCACTATGTCAGACAAAATAGATTTCCAGACCTAAACTATAAGAAGAGACAAAGAAGGTCACTATTATAATATGATACAGGTGTCAATTTAGCAACAGGATATAACAATTTTAAATATGTATGTACCCAACCCTGGAGCACCCAGATTTATCAAGAAAATATTAAAGCTAAAGAGAGATGTAGACCCCAATACAGTAACAGATGGAGACTTCAACACCCCACTTTCAGCATTAGACAGATCTTCCGAATGGAAAATCAACAAAGAAACATCAGCCTTATTCTGCACTGTAGGCTAAATGGACCTAATAAGATATTTACAGAACATTTTCTTATCCAAGAGCTGCAGAATACACAAATACACATTCTTTTCCTTAGCACATGGATTATTCTCAAGGATAGACCATATGTTAAGTCACAAAACAAGTCTTAAACATTCAAAAGTATTGAAATAATATTAAGCATCTTCTGTGAATACAATGAAATAAGACCAGGAATTAATAACAAGAAGAATTTTGGAAACTACACAATTACATGAAAATTAAACAGTATGCTCCTGAATGACCATTGAGTCAATTAAGAAATTAAGAGTGCAATTGAAAAAATTCTGGAAACAAATGATAATGGAAACAGCATACCAAAACCTATTAGATGCAGGAAAAGCAGTATTAAGAGAGAAGTTGATGGCTATAAGTGCCTACATCAAAAAAGAGAAAAACCTTCAAATAAAAAATATAATGATGTATCTTACAGAACTAGAAAAGCAAGAGCAAACCAAATTTAAAATTAGTAGAAAAGATATGATACATATCAAAACACAAATAAATGAAATTGAAATAAGAAACAAGAGATCAATGAAACAAAATGTTGGTATTTTGCAAAGTTAAACAAAATTGACAAATCTTTAGCCAGACTAAGAAAAATAAATAAATTAGAAATGTAAAAGAAGACATTACAGCTGATAGTGCAGAAATTCAAAGGATCATTAGTGAATACTGTCAGCAAGTATATACCAATAAGTTGGAAATCTGCAAGAAGCAGGCATACCTTTAGATACATAAAACCTGCAAGGATTGAACCAGGAAGAAATCCAAAGCCTGAACAGACAAATAACAAGTAATGAGATCAATGCCATAATAAAAAGTCCCGCACTAAAGAAAAGCCTGGGACCTGATGGCCTTACTGCTGAATTCCACCAAACATTTAAAGAATTAATACCTATTCTACTCAAACTATCCTGAAAAAAATAGGGGAGGAGGGAATCCTTCCAAACGCATTTTACAAGGCCAGTATTACCCTGACATCAAAACCAGGCAAAGACACGTCAAACAAAGAAAACTACAGACCAGTATCTTTGAATATTGATGCAAAAATTCTCCACAAAATACTAGCAAGCCAAATTCAACAATACATTAGAAAGATCATTTATCATGACCAAGTGGGATTTATCCCTGAAATGCAAGGATGGTTTAACTTGTGCAAATCAATCAGTGTAATACATTGTATCAACATGAAAGATAAAAATCACATGATCATTTCAATTGACGCTGCAAATGGATTTGATAAAATTAATCCATTAATGTTAAAAACCCTCAAAAAACTGGGGATAGAAGGAACATACCTCACCATATGAAAGTCATATGTAACAGACCCACAGCTTGTGTCATACTGGGGAAATATTAAAAGCTTTTCCTTTAAGACCTGGAACATGATGAAGATACCCACTGTCACCATTGTTACTTAACATAGTACTGGAAGTCCTAGTTAGAGAAGTTAGGCAGGAGAATAGTATAAAGGGTGTCCGAATGGAAAAGAAGTCAAATTATGCTTGTTTGCAGATGATATAATCTTATATTTGGAAACTTTTAGAACAATAAACAAATTCACTAAAGTTGTAGTATACAAAATTAACATAAAAAATGAGCAGCGTTTTTACATGCTAACAATATGGTGTTGGCATAAAAACACACATAGACTAATAGAACAGAATAGAAAACCCAGAAACAAACCCAGACACCTACAGTGAACTCATTTTTGACAAAGGTGCCAAGAACATATACTGGGGAAAGGAAAAGACAGTCTCTTTAATAAATGGTGCTGGAAAAAGTGGATGTCCATATATAGAACAATGAAACTAGACCCCTACTCTCTCTTGCCATATACAAAAATCAAAATGAATTGAAGTCTTAAGTGTAAGACCTCAAACCATGAAACAACTATGAGAAAACACTGGGGAAAATCTCCAGGACATTGGTGTGGGCAAAGATTTACTGAATAGTACCCGACAAGCACAGGCAACCAAAGCAAAAGGGGACAAATGGTATTACATCAAGTTCAAAAGTCTCTGCACAGCAAAGGATACAATCAACGAAGTGAAGACACAACTCACAGAATGGGAGAAAATGTTTGCAAACTACCCCTCTGACAAGGGATATATAACCAGAATATATAAGGAGCTCAAACAATTCTATATGAAAAAAATCTAATAATCTGGTCAAAAGATGGGCAAAATATTTGAATAGACATTTCCCAAAAGAAGACATGCAAATGACAAACAGGCATATGAAAGGTGCTCAACATCATTGATTATCAGAGAAATGCACATCAAAACTATAATGAGATATCATCTCGCCCCAGTTAAAATGGCTTATATCCAAAAGACAGGCAATAACAAATGCCAGCAAGGATGTGGAGAAAAGGGAACCTTGTACACTGTTAGCGGGAATGTAAGTTAGTACAACCACTATGGTGAACAGTTTAGAGGTTCCTCAAAAAACTAAAAATTAAGCTACCATACCATCTAGCAATTCTCCTGCTGCATATATATCTCAAAGAAAAGCAATCTGTATATTGAAGAGGTATCTGCACTCCTATGTTTGTTGCAGCATTGTTTACAATAGCTAAGATTTGGGAGCAACCTAAGTGTCCATCAACAGATGAAAGGATAAAGTAAATGTGGTACTTATACACAATGGAGTACTATTTAGACATAAAAAAGAATGAGATTCAGTCATTTACCACAACATGGGTGGAACTGAAGGTCATTATGTTAAGTGAAATAAGACAGGCACAGAAAGACAAACATCACATATTTTAACTTATTGGTGGGATCTAAGAATCAAAAATATTTGAATTCGTGTACATAGAGAATATAAGGATGTTTACCAGAGGCTGTGAAGGGTAGTGGGGAATTAGTGGAGAGGTGGGGGTGGTTAATGGATACAAAAAGAAATAGGATAAATAAGACCTACTATTTGCTAGCACAACAGGATAACTGTAGTCAATAATAACTGAACATTTTAAAATAACTTAAAGAGTGTAATTGGATTGTTTGTAACTTAATGGATAAATGCTTGATGGGATGGATATTCCATTCTTCATGGTGTGCTTATTTCACATTGCATGCTTATATCAAAACATCTCATATACCTTATAAATATATATAACTATACCCACATAAATTAAAAATAAAAAAATTAAAAAGGGAAAACCATAGGTTTGACTACATAAAAATGTAATAATTTTTGAATGGAAAAAACATCCTTGGAGAAAATAACCTAGAAAAACTATTAGCAGCAACTATTTCAGAGACATTGCATCTTCATGGTCAAAGAATTCATATAAGTTGACACCTAGAATGCTAAAATCCTAATAGAAAAGTGGACCAAGTACAGATTAGAAAAGTTACAAGATAATTTTTAACATATTAAAAAGTTCAATTTAACTAGGAATTAGATATGTACCCATAAACACACCAATGATTTAAATGAAGTTGTTGAGATTTTGTTGAATATCCTTCCAGTCTGTGTTATCTATCCTATCTGTACCTATTGCTTGATCTGTCCATCTATGTACTTACTTTGTATGTCACTCTTCATCCATTTAGCTATCCATCCATTTACACATTTTTTTTGAAAAGAGATCATAATGTATACTTTTTTTTGTTTTTTCCGTTTAACGTATTTTGAACTTCTCATATCATTGTACGTTCATTACGTTCAAATCTTTGCATCTTGTTACACTGCATGGATGTACCGTAGCTTATTCAAATGAGCTGTCTTACTGGGCACTTATGTTGCTTACACTTTTTTAACAGTTACATATTGAACATCATCACACTGATCAGATTATTTCTAAAGGTAAATTTGGAAAGGTTGGTTTTGCTGTTTAAAAAGTGTGCAAATGTTTCAGACTTTTGCTGCATATTGCTAAATTATTCACCTTTCTACCAGTAATACATCAGAGTAAGCACTCGCAAATTCTTGTAAACACTGGCTAGTATAGTTAGAATTTTATGTCAGTAAAAATGATTGGCAATATCTTACTTTTTTACTTCGCTTTTTTTGATTATTAAAGTGACAAACATTATTTTGTGGTTTTTGGTCATTTTTTGGTGAAATTCCTAATCATATCACTTCTCCCAATTTTTCCTTTGATATATTAATCTTTTCATTATTTATAAAGGTTACATTTATATTTAGGTAAATATGCCTTTGAATTATGTAGATTTTTTTATAGAGAGAAATTTTTTAAAATCTTTAATTAACAAACTTACCAGCTTTGTGCTTCATGGTTTCTACTTTCAGTGTTATAATTATAAACCCCTACTGGAAACCAAGATTATATTAACTAGAAGGAGAATATTTTGATTCATCTATTCCATTTTCCTCCAGGTTTATAGTTGGATCTTTCATTATAGAATGTATGATCAATGGGATTTTTTAACATAGAGCCTTAGAGGAAAACTCAGGACCACCTGGTTTTTAATTAAAATGAATTCTTTTAGAAGATTATATTGTGAATATAGCTTCCTAGTGACTTCCTTCTTAGTATTCAAGTTGGGCTCACTGGAAGGACTGAATTGTATTAAGATCTTAGGTTAGCATAATTATTTTTAATGTTAATGTTTTTATATATAGTGACCGAGTTATTCTGGATTTGACTAAGTAACAATATACTACTTTAGTAACTCACTTGAGTTTTGTTTTGTGAGGAAATTTTATTACTCAACATTCATATCTTAGAAGGTCAAATTATTCTAGAAGATACTGCTTTGATTTTAGAGGAACAGGTTTATTGATCTGGTGAGAAAATCACTGGTGAGTGAATCCCAAGCATTCACTAAATTAGTAAATTTAAAACATGATAACTGCTATGGATTGAAAGGTGATCCTTGTTTTGAAGGAATTGAAAAGGAAAAGTAATCAATACGTTTGTGAGAAGGTATATCAGGATGCCTGGCTTGGCTTTTTCTAAACCACATAACACTTCCCACTCTATTCTACTGGCATTGAGTGTATTATTAGTCGCATGTGTGTTTGCATTGGAAAGACAGTGAGTATCAATGCTCTATCACCAAGGACAGTGTGTTTTAATCACTTGGATCTTCTTAATAAAAAATACAGATTTTGAATTTGTGGGTTTTGACTGGACCTGAGATTCTGCATTCCTATTAAGTCTCCAGATAAAAAGCACTGTGCTGGTTCATAGACTCCTCCTTGAGTAGAAAGTGTGGAAAACTCTTGTATTGACACTTTTACTTCTCCATAAATAAAGTAATAGGTAAAACACATGAAATAGTAAAATTGCAATACAGTAAAAACATTAAACATCTTGTAAGTATCAAGTAAAGCAAATGCTTTTCTCATGTTAATGTTTCTTTGGTTACAGAAAGACCCAAGCTGAGAACCTAGAAGGGTAGAAGGAAAATATATTTTTCCTCTTTTATTATGAAAGGTAGGATCCTTTAATAATTTGACGTTAATGGTGTATATGATAGCTGTGTAGGTATCTGAGTCTAGAGAAACAAGGATAGTGCCTCTCATCTTTGTGTTTCATCTTCTGCCATAGGCATTGCCAGGAGTTCCATTTGGAGAGAAGCAGAAAACACGATTTGGGGTAGTGTTTAACTGCCAGTTCAGGCTTCAACAAAAAAAGCTGATCTCATTTCTGCCCAGTTTAGGTGCACACACGCACACACACACACACACACACACACGTATATATATTTGATATAAAATGTTGAACTATTTTGAAATATAGTTGAATACTACTGTATTAGAATAGTGGTTCTTATTTTTTCTTCAAACTAGCAAATGTCATATGATTTCAACACAGAAGTTGATCAACATGTCTAAAAAGAACAGCTATCCATAGCCAATACTTTAAGCATTTATTCTCTTAGAATATCAGCTGGGAAGGTAACATCCTTCTGGATATTTTTGTCATATTTGGGTATTTTTGGCCCTCCATGAAGATGAATAGTTTCTATTTTTTATGGTCTTTGATAGTAAAGTAAAACTCTGTATTATAAACTTTAGATGTTTCCTTATGTTTTATAATTTATAACTAAAATTTTTGAAAGGCCCGAGCAAGGTTAATGACCAAACTAATAAAGCATGCTCCATGGGATGCCTTACCTCTTAGACAAATACGTAGCGCTACATTTATAAAGTTCTATTTTGTGGAGTACCAACAAGAGTCATTTTCAAGTGAGTAAGCTTTTTAGTCTCAATTTTGCCATCTGACAATCACTTAAGTATTGCCCAGTTCAAGGGTATATATTATAGCCAATCCCAAGTAATTTCCACTTATTTTCCAATACACAGTGTTATGTTCTTTGAAAAATGTAATACAATGTGTATGATACCATGTGAGTTTTGATGCAAACTTTATCACTAATGAGATATTACTGAAGAATTTCTTGGATTGTGAGCCCTTGGGAGGCAGCTGGGGAGATGGATATGTCCTCTTACTTTCTTTGTTTTCCTAAAAACTGATGTACAGTGTAGAGAGTCAGTATGTCTGTGTATTTCAGAGACATGCTCATAATGCTTATTTTATTTCCCAAGACATTATTCTTCTGATTAGAGTTTTGTTGTTTCTGTTGTTCGTGTAGCAGTGGGAGTTTATCATTACTTATTTAGACAATGCATAGATTGAATTTTTTCTCTTTATTTTTTGGGGGCCTAAACATTTCATGTCTTACCAGTTGCATGTATTCATAAAATGTCTTCATCATATTATGATTCTGTTCATCACTTAAATGGATCCAGTAAAAAAACTATGATGGTATAAAGAGAGCATGGGATGGCAAACTGAAGTCCATAGGCCAAATCTGACTCACTGCCTGTTTTTGTAAATAAAATATTTTTACCTGTTTGTCTGGAACACAGCTATGCACATTCATTTAGGTATCTTATATGGCTGCTTTTGCATTACAAAGGCAGAGTTGAATAGCTGGGATAGAGACCATATGAATTGTAAAACCTAAAATATTTGCCAATTAGCCCTCAAACCCATGATGTTAAGGGATGATATAGAGAAGGTGATTATTGGGTCATCTACTTCTTCACACAAAATTCATTCAGTATTCATCCAGCAATATCAGGTAAACCAATGGGGGGACTTATAAGATAAAACAATGAAAAGGAAAAATAATCTTCATTTCCCTTCTGATAATATGCAGAATAGATACCCTGAACCACACTCCCGTAAAAATGTTTAAAGATAAAATAAAACTGTAAAATTGCATAGTAGAGCTAGCAAGAAATTTTGGCTTCCTCCGACTCCAGCAATAAACTGAAGGTGGGAATAGGCGAAGATAGATAAGCTAGTAATCAAGTTGGGTTTTGCCTAGGAGGCTTTTGCATGACTACAGTGAAGCTGATCTTTGATTTTGATGTCTCGGCAGGGTACACAAGACTTGAAACAAATCTACTGCCTACATAAGATGTAAGGTCTTTTGGGAGACTGTTACATGACTCTGGTACCCTAAAAGGCTGCACTTTTAGCTTAAGGGTGAACTAGAAATAAACTTCCATAAACAGGATAAATTTCTTATACAAAACTTTGGTGGTAGGTAGAAAGGGGTGGGAAACATCTTTGCAATTTTATAATACAATCTGGCCTTGTTTGGACCCAAGTTAAAACATCTCTGTGGAAACAATAACCAAACAAATAGAAAAAACTCATGTAAAGGATTTATTTTAAAATGGTACCTCATTTGTAATGGTCTGGAAGTAAATAGAAATCCACTTTATAAGAAATTACTTTCAATTCAGGCTTCATAGAATTCCTAAAGATAAAGTTACAAGGGAAGTGAGTGCATAATCAAAAAAATAAAACTTCCACATACAAACAAGGAGATAAATCACCGTGAATGAGAACCAACAAAAATAATAGCAATAATAACCAGTAGAAATTTAACAAAATAAATTTATGCAATCATAAAATTAGATTAATATGTCTAAAGAATTTGAAGATTGGTAGAAAAATAGACTATCAAATCAGATTTGAAAAATCTAAATTTAACAATAAAATCACTATTTTAAAAAAAATTAAAGAATTTGTTAAGTAGCAAACAATACAGAGGCTAAGAGAGTATGAGGGAACTGGAATATCTGAAGAAATAATTCAGAAGGACAAAAGGATAGAAAATACAGAAGAAGACAAGTGGATAGACATGTAATAATAGAAAAAACCTCACATATTTCTAACTGGACCCTCAGAAGGCAAGGTTAGAATGTCAAAAAGGCACTATTTAGAGAAATAATGGGAAAGAATTTGCAGAACTGATGGAAAATTTTTAACTTTTAATTAAGATACAGAAGTCTCAAAGGATACATAAAAATAAACCCCAAACTTGAAGATTCATAATGAATCTGCAGAAGACAAAAGTATAGAAAAGATCTAAAAAGCTGCTCAGTGAATAAAAAACATTACACACAAAGAAAAAACATTACACACAAACATTACAGCTGACATTGCAATAATAGTAATAGAAGGTAGAGGAAAGTGTGGAATTGTATCTGCATATTGAAAATAATTGTCTTCTTGGAATTATGCATCCAGAAAACTGTCCACTCAGAATGAAGTAATATGAAGAAAACTGATGATAAATATGTGCTGACAGAATTAACTACCAACACTCTTACCAAAGAGAATTTTAAAATGAGTCCTTCAGGAAGAAAAGCAATCCCATTTTGAAAGTCTAAGATTAAAAAAAAAAGGTAAGTGTGTAGAATTCTAATTTGAGGGAATAATTAACCGAAATACTGCCCCAAAATAATATTTGGAGGAAACAATTAGAGTTAAAGCGTTCCAAGTTTCTTGTAAAGTTTGGAAAGAATTTTAAAAGATTGGTTATCTTCAGGTTTTAATTTAAGTATATTTATTAAAATTTCTTTTTTTTTTCTTTTTTGAGACAGGGTCTCCCTCTGCCACCTGGGATGCAGTGCAGTGGCCTGACCACAGGTAATTGCAGCCTCCTCATCGCAGGCTCAAGCGATCCTCCCACCTCAGCTTCCCAAATAGCTGGGACTACAGACACACACCATCACACTGGGCTAATTTCTGTACTTTTTGTACAGATGTGGTTTTGCCATGTTGCCCAGCCTGGCCTCAAACTCCTGGACACAAGTGATCCTCCCATGTTGGCCTCCCAAAGTGCTGGATTTACAAACATGAGCCACTGTGCCTGACCTTTGCTTATTAAAATGTCTAAAGAACTACTAAAAGATAAAATGTGTATCTAGCCCTCAGGTTATTAGAAGGAAAATTGTAGTGAGGAAAAAAATCAGTATAAAAGTCATTAAAGTAGGTAATAAGAGAGTGGAAAAAAATGTGGTAAATAGAAAGCACAACTAATTAAATGAATGAAAGTTTTCAGTTAAAAAGCAAAACAGCTTAAACTTTTTGTTTAGAAGCTAGGAACATTTTTTTAAAAAACAAAAATCTTAGCCTAAAAGAAACGAACGCGGCCGGGAGCGATGGCTCACGCTTGTAATCCCACCACTTTGGGAGGCCAAGTCAGGCAGATCACGAGGTCAGGAGATCGAGACCATCCTGGCTAACACGGTGAAACCCCATCTCTACTAAAAATACAAAAACTTAGCCAGGCGTGGTGGCGGGCGCCTGTAGTCCCAGCTACTCAGGAGGCTGAGGCAGGAGAATGGTGTGAACCCGGGAGGTGGAGCTTGCAGTAAGCCAAGATTGTGCCACTGCACTTCAGCCTGGGTGACAGAGCAAGACTCCATCTCAAAAAAAAAAAAAAAAAAAAAAAAGCATGAAACTTAAGTAGTGAAAAAAAAGTACCAGGCAAACATTAACCAACAAAATCTGGGATAGGTATATTTATATAAGATAAGATAGATCTTAAGGCAGTATAAAAATAATTTTATTTTATTTTATCTTTTTGAGACAGTCTCACTCTGTTGCCCAGGCTGGAGTACAGTGGTGCAATCTCCACTCACTGCAACCTCCGCCTCCCGGGTTCAAGCTATTCTTGTGCCTCAGCCTCCCGAGTAGCTGGGATTACAGGTGCTTACCAACACACCCGGCTAATTTTTTGTGTATTTTTTTTTTTAAGTAGAGATGGGGTTTCACCATGTTGGCCAGGTTGGTCTCGAACTCCTGACCTTGGGTGATCCACCCACCTTGGCCTCCCAAAGTGCTGGGATTACAGGCATGAGCCACCATGCCGGGCGGGCCAAAAAACGATAATTTAGATATAAAGTGGGCCAAAACATACTGACGAAAGTTTCACTTAAGCAAGATATAAAAGTTCTAAACTTTATGTACTTAAAACTACAGCTTCAAAATATGTAAAGCCCAAATTGATAAAACTACAAAAAAAAAAAAAAAAAGGCAGGTGTACCAGATTTGAATATATGTCTCTAGGAATTTACAGACCAGGAGGAATTGAATAACATAATGTAGGCAACTTTTTTTTTTTTTTTTTTTTTTTTTTTTGAGACGGAGTCTCGCTCTGTCGCCCAGGCTGGAGTGCAGTGGCACAATCTCGGCTCACTGCAATCTCTGCCTCCCAGGTTCATGCCATTCTCCCACCTCAGCCTCCCAAGTAGCTGGGACTACAGGCGCCCGCCACCACGCCAGGCTAATTTTTCGTACTTTTAGTAGAGACGAGGGGTTTCACCGTGTTAGCCAGGATGGTCTCAATCTCCTGACCTCGTGATCTGCCCGCCTCGGGCTCCCAAAGTGCGGGGATTACAGGCATGAGCCACCACGTCCTGCCAATGTGGGCAACTTTTGTGGGAGAGATGTATAGGGAATACTATCCCCAATGACCATGAGAGATATAGAAAAATAGCCAAATTTGATCAAGTTCTAATGTCTTAATTAGAAAAGGATTGAGAATAAGTTCAAAGATAATAGGAGAAAGGAAATAACACACATAAAGGTCTAATTAATAAAATAATACAAAAAGAAGAAAATGAGTGTTAAAAAAGATCAAAGCTGGTTCATTAAAAAGACTGGCAAGAGAGTTCAAAAGCCCAAAAGAGGACAAAATAAATAGTATTAAGAATGAATCAAAAATGAAAAAGTTCAGCAGTTTAAAGTGATTTGAAAAGGGCATTATGAACATCTTTATGCTGCCAAAGTTGAGACCATGTGAAATGTTAAATTCCTAACATAAATTACCAAAACAGAGTGAAAAGAAATAGAACAATTGAATGTCCATATCCATTAAATATTTGAATCAGTAATCTTCTCTTCAAGTATCACCACTGCCACACAATTTTGTTGGGATCTTTTACGAAAACTTTAAGGAACTGAAAATTCCAATCTTATAAAATTATTTCAGAAGACAGAAGAAGGAAGTCTACCCTCTAACTTATTTTTTGAGACGGTGTAAGAAATAATTATAGCCTTATTTCTTAGGTTTAAAAAGTTAAAGTATTAGCAGAATAAATCTAAGAATGTATAGACATTGTATCAAAACTAAGTAGCTTTTTTTTTTTTCTAAAAAAAAGGGGGAATGAAAGGTGGCACAGCATTAGAAAACAATTATTTTGTAGATCCAGAAAAATTAATTGATAAAATTCAATAATAATGATTAAAATTTTAGCAAAGCAGGTAGAAAAAAATTCTTAACCACATAACAGGTTTCTAAATCAAATAGTATCAAAATAAATTGTGAAATATTGAAAGTTTTATCTTTTTCAATGTGGACTTGGATAATGTGATTTTAAAATGTGTATGGAAAAGCAAGAAAAGCCAAGACACTCCTGCAGAAGAACAGTAAGGATGGAGGACACGCCCTACCAAATATAAATTCTTATTATAAAGTTAGAATCGTTAAGATTTATGTTGTTTGTTCAGGTTTAGACAAATAGGCCAGTGGGAACAGAAGAGAAAGCCCAGAAACCAACACTTTCGTTAAGACCCCACTGACATGTCAGTGAGGGAAAGTACCGAGTACAATAAGGTGTGCTGAGACAGGTGCTTGTCAATATGGGGGCAAAAAAATAACCTAACTTGCCTCACTCTTTGTCACAATATATACAAAAATTAGTTCCATTTATTAAAAGCCTATTAAAATGTGAATTTCTAAAATTTTGGAAGACAATACAGGAGAGTATATTTTTGTCTTGGGGTTAAGAAGTTTTAAATAAAAACAGAATTAGACAACAAAGGCAAATTTGACTTCATAAATATGTATCTGTTTCGATAGATATCATGAAGTGAAAATAGACCACAAATGTGAAGAACATGTTAACTATATATATGTGTGAATGTGCATGTAAAATATATACATACACACGTATTGACAAAATATTAGAATCTATAATGTACAAAGATATCGTACAAATTTATATGTAAAAGACAACTAATACCAAAGTAAAGACAAATTTGCATTTCACATTAAAGGATGCATGATTAGGAAGCGAACAAAAAATGTTTGACTGCATTAGCTGTCATAAAATACAAATTGAAATTATAATAAAATACCATTTACAGTTAACAGATTGGTAGAAGTTAAAAGTCTTCAATATCTTGTGCTGGTAGAAATGCAGAAGAATAGGAACTCTTATAAAATGTATTCAGAAATGAAAATAGTTAGAACCCCTTTAGAAATCATTCTGTATCATATAATCAAGTGGAACATATAGATTCCCTACAATCCAGCAGAATTTATCCAACAAAAATTCTTTACAAGTGTACTTGTAGATATGAAAAATAACATGAATAAATATTTTGTTTATAGTAGCAAGGGAAGTGGAAAATATCCCAAATATCCATTGTCAGTAGAATGGATAAGTGAATTTTATGTATTCATGAAATGCAATATTATAAGGCAATATGAATGGACTTGCTACAACTATATATATTATGAAGTCTAAACGGCATAGTATTGAGTGAACAAACCAAGGCATAGATTATTTTCAATATAATTCCATTTATAAAAAAATAAAATATGCAAAATCAAAATATTACTAAGATAATAAATAAGGCATAACATGGACTAAACTCAGGATCATGGTTACCTCTAAGTGTGCAGTGCTGATGGGGATATGACCAGAGAGGTGGCCTTAGAAATAGCAAAAACGTTATTTAAAAAACTGGATGGGGACTGTGTGGGTATTTGTTTTATTGCTTTTTTTGTTCACATATTATTCATATGTTATAAATATTCCTCATTGTATGTTTATTTAAAAAATGTCCATATAGTTGATGTTAGAAGATTCTTTCAGTAATTCCAGTTATAGTCTATCCTGCTTTAAGTGTGCTTCTGTAAAGTTAATTAGCTCTTACACTATTGTAAACATGGGAATGATACCTGTTTAGATGGAATCATGTAGGTTCATATTGCAATTCATATTTTGTAATCGCATTTAGACTCAAAGTGAAGCCAACACAGCAGAACATGCAAAACATAGAGACATAGTCTATTGACTGCAAGTTATTTTACTGGTTCAATTTAACCATATCCTGTTTTGGATGATCTAATTGAGCAGTTTTCCCAGTGTGTGTTTTGTTGTTTTTTATATAATTCAGCAGCTTCAGCTTTTCCTACACTCTCTTCCATCAAGCCACTTTTACTCATCATTATTTAAAAGTGAAGTCTCATATTTACTGTAGTATTTCTTTACTTATTAGTCACTTAACATGTCTTTTAAACTGTGAAAATATTTAAAATTAGAATGATTTTATTGTGAGCTCAACTTACAAGTTTCATAGATTATAATTAGTGCCCCTAATAATTTTTTCCTTAAAATCTTAAAATTCTCCCTTAAAATCAATTTTTATTTTTATTGTCCAATTTTGTAGAACTTGAGGGTTATTTTTTTCAGAATGCGTATTTATGTTTTTACAGAAATTCCTGTGTCTTCATCAGTTTTGATTAGATTTAGCCTTATATATAAAATTACTAAAAAATGTACCGCTTGCCTACCACAGGTACAAGCCAGTGATCCATTGCTAGGTACTGAGGGAAATGCACATGGACAACTAATATAATTGTGATCATAAGTGATATAAAGCCTGCCTATAAAAGAAAGATTAAGTTATTAACAATCAAGTCCTGCAGAGTCTTGACCTAATCTAACTTTCCAGTCTCTCCTTCCTGTGTTTGTCTTCCAGTTGCTCTCCCCTTCAGCCATGTGGACTTATTATCTGTTCTTCACACACACACTGTGAGCCTCGGAGGAGATAAGCAAATTGGAGAGCTTTCACCTTGCCAATCCTTCCTTCATTGTGCTGACAGTGTTAATTTCCTACAATATTAATCATATCGCACAAAATTCACATCTTCCATTTAAAACCTTTAATGGTTCTACACAGCCTACAAAATTAAGTGCATATTCATTGCACAGTTCCCATAGATCCTTCAGTATACAGTCCTGACTGTCATTTAACATTTCTTCCTCACTGACCCTGTGCTTTAGTAACCCTCAGGAGTCATAATTCCTTAGGCATACCAGATACTTTCATGGATTCACACCTTGTCTTGGTTTGTAATGCTGTAACTGTGCATTGCCTCTTTTTGTTCACTTCTGTATTCAGTTGAATGTTTACTCAATCATCACGGTGCAAATAGAAGACCACATATTACATGTGGCTGCATACTAGACAGAGTAAACATTTGTAGAATAAATGAGCTTTGTTCACATGGCTCCTTATCATATAATCTTGTGCATGTATGTTTATTGTTAGTATTTTATTTGTTTGGTTTGCCCAGCACATCTTACATTTTCAGTTCTAGATTTTCTACTCATTTTGTATTTTTGGGAAAGTAGCCTATTTTCTTTGAGCCACAGTTTCTTCCTCTGTAAAACAGGGCCAAAAATTTGACCTAAATCACAGGGATTTGGGGACAAAGCCAATACTTTGCTAATTACCAAGAGCTATCCATGTGTCAGATTAACTATAATAGTTTTAAAAAGTTCTTAAAATATTGAAGTTGAAATTCTGTTTAAACATTTCAGATCAGACACCAACTCTCTGACTTCTATAAAGAACTTACAAATAAAATGCTCCTAGTTTTTCACTGTCATCAGTTTTAGCTCTTACTTTATGTAATTAGTCTGTAAGCTCCATGAGGACAGTTTTATTCATTGCTGTTATCTTCTGGAATTGTCAAATGTGTGAATGAACAGATAACCATTAGTATCAAATATAGCAACTTGAACAGGGGTTGGGAAGAGGCTAGATATATTGAATAAACTTATTAAATAGATGGTCCTTGTGTTAAAAAAAATCCAAGATAATTTTAAAAACAGTCTTCCACCCGAGCATTTAATGGGGAAGCCCTTTCTGTATCAACCTTCCTATCATTAACAATGACTGTGAAATTTCACTGGGACCCTGGATGTATTTTATGTACTTATAAACAGTAAAGCATTATCAATAATTACATTAGTCATTGTTATTTAAATCACTATTAGTCATAAATATATACCTATTGAACATATACGTACCTATACTTACCTATAAAATGGATAAATAACTCCCTCTTCTCATATGGTATTTATGTTGCTAAAATCCAGAGTCCAAACAACCAAAAATCAGAGCCAGGGGAGTCAGAATCCTTGAGTTCAATTCCCATCAGTCCTGCATTCTCCTTTTTTATCCTTCTGTGGCTTAGTCCTCAACTATGAAAGGAGGCTAAAATAGATTCCAGCTCATTGGACTGTTTGAGGACTAATGATTCAATAAATGTCAGCCTTTGTCAAAGTTCCTGCCTCAGAGCAAGTGCCCATATACTGTTAGGTGATGCTGTTGTTTGTGGTTGCTCTTTTTATTATAATCATCTTCATGTGCCTTCTGAGGCCTTAAAGAAACACTAAATTATATATATATATAATCTTACATATGTGATATACGTATGTAAAGGAGATTTTCTAAGATTCAGTACATGAAGCCCTGCTTTGACATCTCCCTCTCAAGCAGTAACCTATGAAGACATTCATCTACTGAAAACTGGGCAGCTTTAGCACTTCCAGAGCTTCAGCAGTAGTTGGAGATATGGGGCCAGACACATAGGGAAAGGGGATAGCAGAGAAGGGTAGAGGAAGCTGGTTTTCTACCAGCTGATCTATCAAAGAACTGCTAGTTGGATGAGACTGGATCCTGCATTAGAAGATGAGGGCAAGATGCAGCAAATTACAGACTGCAACAATATCTTAACTGCTTGGCTTTATCAAAATGTCTTTGTTACCTGAGTATAATCAACTTAATTGACAAGAAGAGAGATTTCACTCTTTGTAAATCATAATTTTCATTTATTAGCTGTAGCTGTTTTTTTTTTTTTTTTTGGTCTTAGGATTTTAAAAAATGGGCTTTACTGAAGATACACATTTATGGAATTCAGGAATCTCCAACAATAGTTCTCTATATTTGTTTTTTCTTTTTTTTTTTTTAGGGGGGATCTCTTCTAGAAAACTGATTGGCTAAGAATTAATGATTGTTATTTTTTTAATACCAGAATTTGTTCTATTAACTAGCATAGCTGCAGACTTTCATGACATGAGACCCTACATGTGATACTAATTATATTCGTTAATTTGAGTCCTTCTGATTTCTCACGTTAGACTTAGTAAAATATATACCTAGCTGTTTAACTGAGTGTTTTCAGAGGATTTTTCAAAAATAATAATTTATTCTAATTTTAATATTCCCTAGGTAATATTGAAATAAACCAGCTCTGTATAATTTAGCCTGAGGTAAAAGCATCAGTATATTTGGAACATAAACCTAATTCTATCTTTTGTTGAACTGCCCAATTTAGTAAAAGCATTTCAATGGTACTTCTTAAATGTAGTGTGACTTAGAATACTGGAAGCTGCCCACCAGAATGTAAAAAGAGGAGAATAATTTATATTTAATTGGTCTAAACCTACTTTACCTAGGTCAATAAGAAGAGAAATCAGCAACATTAATCAAGATAAAATTATCAGTTGATTAATCAGTGTTCTAATTACTGCATAGTTCTTTACCTTTTCAATTTTAATTACTAAACCTCATTGTCTTTTTCATATGGCTAATGTATTCATGGCGTATTTTTTCTCCTAGTGAAATAAGATAAAAATATACATTCTAGATATTAAAATATCAAATGTAGAAAATTACTAGTGCCTCTTAAGAATTTCCCCAAAAGGTATAAATAAGCTATTAGATTATACAAGAAAGGAATGATAACTTCATGGATATTTAAGTGAATACTCTTAGTGGGTAATACAACTATGATTATGGAACTAAGCTTTGTGAAACAGTAGATTTTAATGCAATTGGTATTAAACATAAATTAGGAAAATACATTGGAGACTTTCAAGATTATTTGTTTTAGTGAAGGCCTGAATATTTTTTGGTGAATGTCTTTATTAGGAATATGGTGACCCTACTACATGGTTTCTTAACCTTGGCACTATTAAAATTTGGGCCTGATCATTCTTTGTTGCAGTGGGGCTGTCCTGTGCGTTGTAGAATGTTTAGCAGCATCCCTGGCCTCTACTGACAAGATGCCAGTAGTCTCCCCAGCCCCGCTATCCCTACCCTCTACCCCTATACAAATGTCTCCAGGCGTTAACAATTATCCCCTGGGGGGCAAACTTATCCCCTTACTGAGAACCACTGATTTCACTGGCTTTCATTTGAAAAAATTACTTTAAGACAGATATACTGTATAATAAGACATCCTTGCTAGGTGAGTGGAAGTTTTTTACAGGTTAACTATTTTTATGGGAAACTCTTGATATATAAATTCCCAGACACTTTTGATGACATAATGATGATGATCATTGAGATGACAGCAATAACGAATATTCACTAAGTTTATCTATGTCATCATGTGTGAAGGTATAGCAGTTCTGTGAGGTAGGCCCTGTTGTTACTCTCTCGGGAGTTTAGAAAGTTTAAATAATGCCCACATTTAAATAAAGGCCTAGTTAAGCCTTCCTCACTCAACTCGATAGAATTTGAAGCAAAATAACCCTTCTTGAGGAAGATTTTGCGTTTCTAAGAAGGTGAAAAATTTGTGCTGTCTTTTTTTTTTTTTTTTTTTTTTTTTGAGATGGAGTCTTGCTCTGTTGCCAGGCTGGAGTGCAGTAGTGCAATCTCAGCTAACTCCAACCTCTGCCTCCCGGGTTCAAGCTATCCTCCTGCCTCAGCTTCCTGAGTAGCTGGGACTACAGGCGTGCACCACCATACCCAGCTAATTTTTTGTATTTTTAGTGGAGACGGGGTTTCACCATGTTGGCCAAGATGGTCTCGATCTCTTGACCTCATGATCCGCAATAGTTTAGAATGTTGATTACATTTTAAATTGTATCAATTTGTGATCTATTGAGGAAATTAATGTAAAATATTTGGGTTTTACTTAGACACTACACAAGAATTATCTTAAAATTCAAATGTGAACTTATTTGATGTTTAACTGAAAAGACAGTTATGAAACTGATTATAGTAAAATAGGCATTGTGGTTATTATAATGGAAAGATGATTTTCTCTGAAATGAAAAGTGTTTTCTTGGCAAGTTTTCCTTCCTTCTTCTCTCCCCTTTTTCTTCTGGTCTTCCCTTTTTTTCCTTCTCTCCCACTTTTCTTCTCTTTCCATTGTTCATTATGAACTGTATTATTTCTATTACATATTATATATGCTTGAAATTGGAAAACTGTTGAGTTTAGCTACCGCTTGTAACTAAATGACTTGAGCAATAATTAATTCCATTTGCATGATCTTAATGCACAAATGTGAATACTGATGTGGCAGATACCTAATTGTGTTTCTTAGCTATTTGATTCAATTATAAATATTATGTTTTCCCCACTGATGTAGGCTCAACATTCTACCTCTCCTACAAAGATTACTTATAAAATTTTATATTTGGCCTTAGATTATATAAAGTGTAGTATGTCAGTTATAGACTTGCAATGATTTGTATCACCTTTTTAGGGAAATGTATTCAGAAAATTGGACTGAATGTGCATGGCTGCATCTATAAGTATTTATTCTAGCATAAAGCCTGTTCTAAGGCATATGGTATGTTTAGCTACAGGAATCTTAAATGACAAGAGTCAACCTATATATCAATAATTTTTTTACTGTGATAGCTTCCTTATTACCTTTTAAGTGCTTCATAATAAAAATTGCTGTTTTTTTCTTTGTGGAAAAAAGAATATTTGCAAAGCCTAGAGATAAATGAATCTATAATTTTTATATGGGAATATGACAATTTTTTATGGCCACGGTATTTAGTATAATGTTTTGTGTTTCTTAATCATAAAACCATTAGAAAATTAATCGGCTTAATGTTTAAATTATAAGAGTAAAACAAATCCTTTGCTGAGCATAATGGTAGACTAGCCCGGTTACCTCAGTCCCTCTTTGTAGCATATTAAAGTTCTATTCCTAATAGTATGAACATCATGTTCAGCATGTCTTGCAGATGTTTGCTTTGCCATTTTCAACCAGAATCTTGGATAAAATGTTAGGCTGGGCTAACATAGCATACAGAATACTTGAATGTTATAGGTACGCATTTGTATATCACAATAGATCTCACTCATAAGAGATAGTTTCCAGAACACTTAACCAAATATCGTAAGGGAACCAAGAAAAAGAAAAGAAAAAGAAAGACACCTAACAGAAAAATGATCAAAGAACAAGGGTGCCGATTCACAAAAGAAGTAAAATTTAAATTTAAATAAAGTATGTTTAATCCTATTGGTAAGCAAAGTATTTGAAAATGAACCACAATGAATTTATTCTTGGCAATGAGCAAATACTTAAAACAATACTAATGGCCAACACTGAGATGATGGTTAGTGTAACTTCCTAAGAGGATAGTTGGACAATATGTATGGTAATGTAAATTTCCAAATGTTGATACACTTTGATTCAGATATTTTTAAGGATTTTTAAAAAATAAACATATATATAGATGTGCCCAGATATTCAGCTATAATATTTTAGTTATGTAGTGTTATTTATATTAGCAAAACTGTTATATCACCATTGTACAATGCTGATAAATTAATGGATCCAGGCATGGATCATCAATGGCTGCTAACATCAGAAAAAAGTAAACAATCCTGTATTATGTACCACCTGAGGGTAGTATACCATACCATCTATGAAATATTCTTGCCAAAACGTAGAACCAAAATTTGGACAAAATTCCTTATCTAAGACTCTATTTCTAGGAAGTACAGTTGATAGAGGAGCATGGTAAATGACACTGATCCAAAACATGGGAAATACTATAGGTTCATTGGCCTATTTTTGTTTGTTTTTCTTCGTGTTTTTGCTGACAAATAAATTGCAAGGGGAAAAACACAGAAAGGAACCTCTTAACTATTTGCAGTGTATGGATCTTATTTGGATGTTGATATTAACAGTCTGAGGAAGGAAAGGGAAGAAGGAGAAAGAAGGGGTAAAGATGAAGGATTTTTAACACTGTCTAATTTAAAGGCACACAGTGAAATATGTGCAGATGAAATAATGAGTGGATTTGTTTCAAAATAATCTGAGGTTGGTATGGGGAATTCGTAAGGGTACAGATAAAACAAGACTGACCATGAGGTGATAATTGTTGAAGCTGGGTCATGGATGGGTACATAGCAGTTTATTCTAACAGTATTGCTTAAAAACAATGGCCACAGCAACAACCTCAAATGTCCAACAATATGGCTTTGATTAAACAATTTGTGGTATAACCACAAGATAAAATAATATGCAGCCATTAAAATGATATTTATATTATATAGAATGTTTAAAAATACTTAAGCATTCAAAATATTCATAGAACATTAATAAGTGTAAAAAGGTTACAAAACAGGATGTAGTGGATAATCCAATTCAAATGCATAGAAAGGAAATCAAGATTAGTAATAATGGTTTCTGAGTTAGGGAATTAATTACTTTCATTTGTTTTCTTTGTGCTTTTTTGTATATTTTTCAAATTTCTGCAATAAGTACGCATACATTTTATCAGATTTATAATATCATTAAAAATTAGGGAAAGAAAAAATGTGGTTTAGAAAGCTTTTCTCCCTAAATGATGAAAACTTACATTTTATGTGTTCTATAGAAGTAAAGTTTCAACATGTGGACAAAGCATATACTATTTTGTGGTTATGTATTATAAATAATATATTACCATAACTTCGCTGGAAAAGTCAAGGGAAATTAGTTTCATTATTTGTATCTTGTTTAAGAAGAAAATGAAGTGCACTGTGTGTGTGTGTGTGTGTGTGTGTGTGTGTGTGTGTGTGCTGCATGAGAGAGGGTCAAGGAAAAGGAGTCTAACATTTGCAGGATACCTAGATTAAGCTATATATATTACCTTTAGAATTCTCAGTACAGACTTTTGAGGTTGACTTGTATGTCTGCTTTAGAGGTAAGGAAACAGAGACACAGTTTGCAGCATGTAACTGCTGGAGCTGAAAATCAAGCCAAGGGCATTTGGGCTTCCACTAGACCTCCTTGTACCATTTAGCAATCTGACCCTTTTACTAGGGTGTTTATTTCGTCAAAGTATACTGCTAAAACATTTTGCTATTACCATACTATAAAACTAAAAATTATATAATCTATTATTCTGGTACTTGTTATCCAGTTTCCAAAATATTTTCATTAAAATAAAGTTTGAAACTTAAAAATTATTTTACTTAGAAAGAAAGGAATTGGTAAGAGATACCTAAACCTGCTACATTGCCTGCTACAGCGATGGCATCACTTTCCTCTTGACTCTCCCTGCTAGGTGCAGCTTTCAGCACGGTAGAGCACAAGAGATGACATCTGGGGTGGCTAAGGGTCACCTGGCTCTATATTCTTATTCCAGATGAACTCCACAGATCCTTTGATACCACCATTTGGGTTACTTTGTCAGCTAGTTGTTTTTTGTTTTTTACTTCGAGGACTATTTATTAAGAAACGTGTAGTAAAGTCTAGAGTGGAATTCACTAACTGATAAGAAAGATGAGTTAGCTGTTAAAGGGAGGGTCCAGGAAAGGAAGAATGCAACCTAAATAGGTGAGCATTTCAATGAAGAGGTGACTCTTTGGGGTTGGCATGTTCATTTCCTTGCTCCATAAGCTTTTGTTGAACACCTGTTATGTGCCAGGATATCAACTTGGTAAACAGTCTCAAAATAGATCCTTTAATTTTTTTCAAATAAGATGGACTTTAAAACATTTTACATGGATATAGATATAATGGTAAGTGTGGCCCAGATTGGTATTGGTGTGTTGCACCCTTCCACTCTTAAACTCTAGTGCTTATTCATCTGTGAATTGAAAGAGTAAGACCTGAAAACACAGGCACAAAGTAAGCTATTTGGGAAAACAAGGCATAGCCTTTACTCCCTACTTCCAGAGGAACATGCACACACACACGCACATGCACACACACATATTATATGTAATCTTTAAAATATTAATATATTTTAATCTGTACTGTTTTAGAATACATTAAGTATTGAAATCTTGGCACTTCTACCAATGTGCTTCAGAAAGAATCATGATATTCATATAAGAGTGTACTAGCATCATACTGACAGTCCTGTTTGTTTTGTTTCCAAAATGTATTGAGATACTATTTTGATTGTCATGACCCTTAACATAGACTTCCCTTTAATTATAGTCTTTATTCCAATATAAAGGATGCAATCCCTTGACCAATCAATTTATTTATCTCTATTCTAATAATTCTATAAAAATGTGCAAACAGCATCTGTTCACTTCATGGATTTAAAAAATCATGAGTAATCATTCTCAATAATGGGAGAGATTTCTTGTAATTCAAAATTTCAAGAAGTCTCCATTGAGAAATCTGAGTGGTACATCTATTGTATGTGTTTGTAGTTTTTGAAAATTGACCAGCGTGGCCAACATGGTGAAACCCAATCTCCACTAAAAATACAAAAACTAGCTGGATGTGGTGGCACATGCCTGTAGTCCCAGCTACTTGGGAGGCTGAGGCAGCAGAATTGCTTGAACCCGGGAGGCAGAGGTTGCAGTGACCTGAGATCACGCCACTGCAGTCTAGCCTGGGTGACAGAGCAAGACTCTGTCTCAAGATAATAATAATAAGAAGAAGAAAATTGTTATGTGGCCACCCTGAAGTTACTTTACCTTTTTATTTCTAATTATGTCCATTATTGGAATATTCCAAATGCCAAAGAGACTGAGTTTTTCTATACTTACATATAGAATGTGTAAGATTAATGGGCAATGAGAGTGGAAGCTGTCTGTCTTTTCCTATACATATATGCACTTTTGGCAACCCTCTTACCTTCATGTTTTATTTCCAAAGTAGTTTAAATCTTAGATCTAAGAAATAACTTCTTTCTGAATTTACACCAAAAACAGGGAATCTATTTAGACTAGTTCGAGCATGTTGTAAAACATTTTGAACTTTGATGAAACATGTAAGAGTTTCTGCTGTTTTCACATTGATAAGAACCATGTGCATTGTACTAGCCTTCCTTTAGTATTTTGATACAAATTTTCCTCATGCATTCATTAAATATCAACATATATCTTTTACACACTGGCAAAATAATAGAGCTGATGCTTAGCTTGGTGCTTCATATTTTTTTCTGAATTGAATTTTGATCTCATTTGATTTAATATTACAGTCCATTTTTCTGGCATGTACTAAATGTGTAGTGTTCTATTTATTGTAATTGAGGACCTTGTTCTGTGATCATCTTTTTGAGCACTCAAGAAAGAACATGAGTAGGTATAAGTACTGCAAACACACTGGTCATTGAACATACCAATGAGTAAAAGATGAGGGGGTTGCTGATAAAGGAAAAAGAAGTACCTTTGTTTCAATATTTATTGAGGATTGTTTTTAATGAAGTGTTCTGTCTAAAGTGGAAATACTGCTCTTTTTGTCCCTCTTCAAAATCTCTTTAGTAGGTCAAATTGCTGTTTGTGGCTGTATCTTCATTGTTTAGAGATCTTGGAAAACGCTGAAGGCCTAAGCTTAGTTATTAATTATTATACTGGTGTTTTGTTTATTATGATAGGACAGAGTAAAATCCATTAATATGAAAGAGGAAGAGGAATGTCGATCCATTGTACCACTTGGTGGGTTTGTGAAACTTTATTTCTGATAAAAATATGGAGAACATATTTGCAATGGGGTTTGGATAATGCAATTTTGGTATCATATGCCATGATTTCCATATTGGAGAAATGAAAACTGTTGAAGCACGCCAGAGCTACAAATGCTTTCCCTTTCCCTGTGGGAAAAAAATCTTACTGTGTGGGATCAGTTTGGGGCATGATGAGTCTCAGAACAGCCACACCTAGCCTGAGCAGGCTTAAATTTGCCATCCTAGTTCTGCAGATTATGCTAACTTAATAAAATAAAAATAACCTAATGCACACCTAACAGCACATCACTGAAAACATCATTTTTTTAATAGTAACTGCATTTTCAATATTCCAATATATTTGAAACCACTTTTCGAAGTGGTTTCACATCATTATCTTTTTTTTCTGGTTATGGCAGCACTTTCATTTTTTCTTACACAATGATGTGTTGCTGGGGCCTCATGTTCTCACATAACAGTAGAAAACCAAAGTCTGTTATCATGTCTTAAAGAATCGAGAATTGTGTACAAAAAACCCTCACATAAATTTAAAGGATGAATAAATTTACAGGTGTAAGTGCAAACTGCTTCCAACTCAAGGCAAGTAACAGTCCATGGTGTTCTGGCAGGAAAACATCAGGTAAGAAAGGAAGCGGGATCCTACAGCTTGGACTTTTCCAACCCTAAGAGACCGGCAAGATAGAAATGACAACTGGTTCAGGAGCCCTTGCCAGCCTCTGGAGAAATCCCATGACACTCAGCCATGACACTTTAATACCCTCTGCAGATCGGAGACTACTGGCTACTCGGGCTCACCACGCCATGGACTTGTCTCTCACAAGCATGTTCTTTCCTCAGCCATGAACTGACCCAGCCACATGTACTAAAGGTTGAAATCAAAGGTATGTACAGTGTATTAAACAAATGACTAGGGAATAGTTAACCTGAATACAAGGTTAAAATCAGCAACAAGTTCTACAGTCCAGTCTTGCTATCAGATACAAGCTTCAAGGACAAATTTGTTTTCAAAGGCTTATTACAGTTTCATGAGGCTAGCATGAGGTGTATACATGTGCCAGGGGCAAATTTAT